>NC_000002.12:30270375-30423126 GCF_000001405.40 Homo sapiens
CATTCAAATCACTGGGGAACTTTAGAAAAATCTCGGTGCCCAAGCCTCAGCCCAGACCAGTGAAATCCCTAACTGTGGGAGTGAGACACAGGCATCCGTATTTTTAAAACTCTTTGGGTGATTTTGCTCTCCTCTACCAAGTTTGTAAAGCAGAAACACTTCTCAAACTGCAATGCATGTGACTCTTACAGGGCTCTGGTTAAAATGCAGATTCTGGCCGGGCATGGTGGCTCACGCCTGTAATCCCAGCACTTTGGGAGGCCAAGGCGGGCGGATCACGAGGTCAGGAGATTGAGACCATCCTGGCTAACATGATGAAACCCTGTCTCTACTAAAAATACCAACAACAACAACAAAAAAATTAGCTGGGCATAGTGGTGGGTGCCTGTAGTCCCAGCTACTCAGGAGGCTGAGGCAGGAGAATGGCGTGAACCCGGGAGGTGGAGCTTGCAGTGAGCCAAGATTGCGCCACTGCACTCCAGCCTGGGCGAGAGAGCGAGACTCCGTCTCAAAAAAAAAAAAAAAAATGCAGATTCTGATTCTGGGTGGAGCCTGAGAGTCTGCACTCCTAACAAGGTGCTGGGACGCCAATGCCTCTGCTTCACAAACTACACTTTGAGAGCAAAGCTACAGAGGCCTCCTGTCCCTTTCTTCCTGCACCCCAATTCTTCTTCATATAAATAGACTTTGCAATGATTTATTTTTCAGTTTGTCTTTTAAACGTACAGTTTCCACATCACCCGAATAATTATAGATTTACCCACCCTTACCAGAAAGGGTATGATGATGTATCATGTGCCTTCTACATGCAAAATGTTGTCATCAACTGCTTTGAGGAGTTACAGCCCCTGTTCAATGATGAGAAACAGTAGCTCAGGGCCCCTGGTGTTAGTGGCAGTTCTTGCTGCAAGGCTCCAAGGCTCTTCTAAGGTACCTGCTCCTCTTCACCTGACTCTCTCTTTAAATTTGTGATTATTAAGCTTGTGAATCTGATTCACATTTTAGTTTGGAGGTCCAAACTTCACCTAGTTTTTAATATACACTGAAAAAGATCCTCCCATTTTTCTAATCTCTACCTCAGATCTCTTTTTCATTTCTGCTTTCCCTAATTCCTTGCCCCGCCCAGTCCAATCTTCACCAAGACTTCCTTCCCCAAAGCCCTTCTATCTCTCACCACTGTTACTTTCCCACCCTCGGCTGGCCTCATCGCCATACACCCAGACTGTGTCAGGGGCTCTCACTAAGTGGATTCGAGAGAGCAGTGCAGCTAGGACACCCTTAAACAGCCCCTACGGAACCACCCCAGTCCTGGCTTACTTCTTTGTCCTTTATCCAATGCCAGCAGTGAGATTTGGACTATAGGATCCTGTCCTGGGAGTCCCCACAGTAGTCTTTGGGTTGCTATTGCCGAATGCCACCACAGAGAATTTCCCCGCAGAGTGAAGGCTGTGCTCTGGCATCGCTGCAATGGTTAGTTTTGTGCATCAACTCGACCGGGCTAAGGAATGCCCAGGTGGTTGATAAAATACTATTTCTGGGTGTGTTTGCAAGGGTATTTCTGGAAGAGATCAGCATTTGGATTGGTGAATTGGTGGACTGATGCCTTCCCCAATGGAGATCACATCATCCTATCCACTGAGGGCCCAAACGGAACAAAAAGGTGGAAGAAGGATTAATTCTCTCTCTCTGCCTGAGCTGGGACATCAGGCTTCCCCAACCCTCGGATACTGGTACTCCTGGTTCTCAGGCTTTCAGACTCACACCTGGACTCTACACCTTCAGCCTCCTGGGTTTTAGGCCTTCAGGCTTGAGCTGAAATACACCGCTGAATTACGCCTGTTTCCCTAGCTTGTAGATGGCAGACTGTGGGACTTTTGGGCTTCCATAACCACATGAGCCAATTTTTATAGTAATCTGCTCGTGTATGTGTGTGTGTGTGTGTGTGTATAAAATTGCCTAATTTGTTCTGTTTCTCTGGAGAACTCGAATACAATTGTGATGTCAATCTAAAGAGCTGCACTCCTGTCCCCTCACCTAGAGGAGGACAGAGACATCAATAACACACAGCTCCCAAGCCGGTTTTGCCCATCGTCATTCCCTTGCAGGTCTGTTAACCAGCACCAAGGTGATGGGTAGAGCAGGTTCTCTGTGGCAGCCTGCATCACTGCAGCTGGTGCCGAGGAACTACCCGTGGCTCTACCACATTGGCACAGCCAGGCATACAAGATCGCTGTCCTTACAGGGCCAGTAGGGCCAGCGAGGTCAGCTCTCTGATGAGAGGCAGCCTTGTGTGGTAGTGAGAGAACAGATTTTGGAAATAGACAGATCTGGGTTGAAATCTCAATTCCCCCACCACCCACTATCTGACCATGTGACTTAATTCTTTGTGCTTCAGTTTCCTCATCTGTAAATGGGGAGGAGGCAATAACTCATTAGGAGAATTATTGCAAAGATCAGGTATGAGTATGTATTCAAGTTTACCCCTTCTCTGCTATTTTGAGCATGACATGAAATGACGCTTGTGGAAAGCATTCATTAGCACAGCACCTGGACCAGTATGTGGTGAGAAGGTGCTCACCAGATATTGCCTTCTCTCCCTTTCTTGATGACCATCTTTCTGATGCCAAACAAATCACTTCTCTGCCCTAACCTTCATCCTAGGTAACAAAGGACTGTTGGGTAAGGCAAAGGGTCAAGCCAGAGCTCACAGGTTTCCAGTTCTCCCTATGGCCACCCTTCCCAGACAGCCCCCTCTGACCTTTTGCATCCTGCACCTTTGCTAGAATTCCTGGGATCAAGAAACCTCCAACCTCAGGCTTGGAGCAGTTAACCCAGGTGTTGGGGGTGAGGGAGAGAAAAATGTTGAAATGTGAACTGGTTCACGATGACCCCAGCTCACAAGCTGCATGGATAATCACTGTTTATCAACTCACTGGAAAAAATGACTACAATTACATTTCACACATCAACAAAAGGAAAAAATAAAGCCCCATTGGAATGTCTGAGTCATTCTTCAGAGCCTTTAAATTACCCATTCATTATGACCCTTCTCCTCATCACGTACCCTCCCTTGCAGGGACCGGCGAGCTGCCATCTGCCTGTTGCTTGCCAGCCTGGCCAAAAGACTCTGCAGATCAACCAAGACTCTGTTTGGGGGCTTACAGTAGACCACAAGGAGCTATTAAAGGGATCAGCAAGGCCTGGAGGGTCTCTTCTAGGAGCAATTGTTTCAGACTCTTTTCTGAATTGTTGACTTGGGTGTGTCATTTACACACACATACCAAAATCTGGCTGAGTGAGGAGGAGTCATGGTCAACAAGGAGATTTTGCTGTCACTTGGGGCCAGCATTTTTGCACAGATGTGAAACAACAGCTTCATGGTCATAGTTTGTTCAAAAATGAATCACTTCATTTAGGAGAAGAGGTAGGAGGGTTCAGCGGTAACCCCCGACCCCTGCCCCACGGAAACACTGCACCTTGTCTGCCACCAGATGTGTGTGGTTCATTATCTGGTTTGGCCAATCTATATGTCCCCTGAAAACTAGGAATGATCACATCTTAAATTCACAGGAACAGTGGTTTTAAAGCAGTTTGGGGGTCTCAAAGATTCCCTTTGAGAATCTGATGGAAACTATGGATTTTCTCTCTGCAAATACCAACATAGGCTTACAAATTCCAGGGAGTCCATAGGCTCCCATGAGAGGCAGGGCATCCCCAAAACTCAGCTAGCACTAGACAGACTTTTTTTTTTTTTTTTTTTTTGAGACGGAGTCTCGCTCTCTTGCCCAGGCTGGAGGGCAATGGCGCGATCTCTGCTCACTGCAAGCTCTGCCTCCCTGGTTCACGCCATTCTCCTGCATCAGCCTCCCGAGTAGCTGGGACTACAGGCGTGCGCCACCTCACCCGGCTAATTTTTTGTATTTTTAGTAGAGGCGGGGTTTCACCATGTTAGCCAGGATGGTCTCGATCTCCTGACCTTGTGATCCGCCTGCCTTGGCCTCCCAAAGTGCTGGGATTACAGGCGTCAGCCACCGCACCCGGCCTGACAGACTTGTTACTGAAGAAACCCTGGAGTGAATTTGTTTATAAAGGGCCCTTTGGTCCCGGGGGTCCCCCCACCCCATCACCTCTTCTGTGGTTTTTTAAGACTTCATCTTTGAAAGTAGGATTTGCTCAGTGGAAAAAGAAGTAGCTCAGACACTGAGACCTACAGGTCCCTGTCCCAGGTCAAAATGAAGCTCCCCTTTCAGTTTATTCAGAGATCAGAACATTCTTTCCAAACCAGGAAATTGGATCAGGCCAACGTCAGTACAAAGTGCACTGTCAGGGCCTGGTGGGTAACTTGGCCTCTCGTGGGTCACTCCTTATGCTACCAATACCAGGACTATCTTAGATGTCTCGGCCAAAACCATAATCTCTGGCCCCCAAAGAGAATGCTGTCAGACAGCAAGGAATGACAGGTTTCCAGGAAGTGTACGCCCTGTGCCACCCAGAGCTTCAAGAATCTTGGCTATCGTCCATTCATCAACTTGGTCATCAAATCTGCAGGCCATAGTGGGTGGTGAGCAACAAGTCTGGGCTGGAGAAGGCTGTGTTTACATAGCAGTTTTATGCCTGCCAATCTGTCTGTGAACTTTGGAAGACTTATTCACCACAGCAATATGGTAATTGTCAATGGGGACAATAAAGATTTCTTACGTCTGTGTGCCTTTTTACCCTATATAAAGCGCTTATGCCGATAAGGCATTCTCTTTTTTTATTGTGGAAAATATACATACAATTTACCATTTTAACTATTTTTAAGTGTAAAATTTGGTGACATTAAGTACATTCACAACTTGTGCAACTGTCACCCCTATCCATTTTCAGAACTTTTGCATCATTCCAAACAGAAGCTCAATTACTTTCTGTTTCTCTGAATTTGCCTAACATAGGTAACTCACATATGTGAAATCATACAATATTTGGACTTTCGAGTACGGTTCATTTCATTTAGTGTAATGTGTTTGGGCTTATTCATGTTGTGGCATGTATCAGAATTTCATTCTTCCCTATGGCTGAATAATATTCCATTGTATGTAGAGATTACATTGTGTTTGTCTATTCGTCTGTCAATGGACATTTGGGTCATTTCCACCTTTTGGCTGTGGTGAATAGTGCTGCTGTGCACATTGGTGTCTGGTATCTGTCTGAGTTTCTACTTTTTATTCTTTTCAGTAGATATCTATGAGTGGAATTGCTGGATCTTGTGGTAATTTTATTATATTTTCTTTTTTTTTGTTTTTTGAGACAGAGTCTCGCTCTGTTGCCCAGGCTGGAGTGCAGTGGTGCGATCTTGGCTCACTGCAAGCTCTGCCTCCCGGGTTCACACCATTCTCCAGCCTCAGCCTCCCAAGTAGCTAGGACTACAGGTGCCCGCCACCATGCCCGGCTAATTTTTTGTATTTTTAGTAGAGATGGGGTTTCACCGTGTTAGCCAGGATGGTCTCAATCTCCTGACCTCATGATCCACCCGCCTCGGCCTCCCAAAGTGCTGGGATTATAGGCATGAGCCACCGTGCCTGGCCCAATTTTATTATATTTTCTTATTTATATGGTGATAAACAACTCCTACTTTATTATAACCATTTTAAACATAAAGAATTTGAAGCTCAGAAAAGTGCAGGAAATGAATTCCCTCAATGAAGTTTGCTAACTTAGAGATTCCTGTGCCCAGGGTTGGGACTAGGGTGAGGCAAGTGAAACACCTAGTGTGGAAACAACAGGAGGACTCCCTCTCAGGTTTGGGTGACCCCTTGCCATGGTGAATTTGTCTACCAGCTGCAGTAGCAGTGCCAGGACCCATGATAGTTTTAGAGCCTATGAAAATGTTTTAAGGTATTTTATAATCAGAAAAAAGAAATCAAATCCAGCTTGAATTATTTGTCTCTATATCAATGCAGTTCTAAAATATAATTTTGTGTGTGTATGTATAGGTATTTTTTAGATAGAGGAAGGAATCTACAAAGGCAAAAGTGCCTAGGGCCCCCAAAAGTCATAATGGTTTCTGCCCTGAAAATGAGCATCCTATGAAGAATGAGGTACCCAGGGCACATGATTTAAAGAGGCTTTCATTTTTAGGTTCCTGCAAGTACTGAGCCTGCACTGTCATGATCCCCAGAGTGAATGCCTCCTTAAATGCTATGAGCCAGGTGCCTGGCTTGCCTTACCCTAGGCCCAGCCCCACCTGCCTCCTTATCAGGCTGGACTGCTACTCCTGGCACACTGGGCAAAATCATCTTGGGCCACAGATTCCTCCCTTGGCAGCATGCTTTGCATGTCTAAGGCAAGGAGGCTAGGGGAAGTTCAGTTTAGTCATAAAAAAAGCTAGGTGTTTGCCCACTGGGGCGCCCAGGAGAGGCCTCAGTGAACCCCTCCCCAATCAGCCTGCAGTAGTAACACTTACACCACTCACGCCGTCTCATCGAGTTTGCCACATCTGTAGTTGTTCTTATTTTACTAGAAAGTCCTATTTGTAGTCATTCCCAAAGCATTAGCTAATTCTGCAACCCATCAGGATCAGATGAGGAAAGATTTCCTTTCTAAAGGTCTTCCTCTGGATTCAGAATCTTTCTTATATTTTCATCCCTTCAGAGCACCCTGCTCACCACCTCCTCTTGCTTCTCTGCACCCACAGACTTCACGGGGTGCAGTCCTTTCATATTCACTCCTGCAAGGAGATGGCATTTGGAGAGACAAGATATACTTTACTTACTAAATAATTCATTCAGCAAATCTTCATAGAGTACCTACTAAATGCTCAGGCGCTGGGATACAGACGTGCACAGAACAATCCAAAATCCCTGCCTTTGTGGAGCTTACATTCTAGGAGGGATTACATTGCTTACATTGCTGTCACTTGGGGCCAGCATTTTTGCACAGATGTGAAATAACAGCTTCATGGTCATAGTTTGTTCAAAAATGAGCAAATAATAAAAATGTTAGAGCAATAATAAAAAATAAAGAAGTAAGTGACAAAATTTATAATGGGCCTGATAGGGATAGGTAATGGAGAAATAAAGCAGAGGATAGGGGATGCTGGGTGGGGCTGGGAAGTGCAATTTTGGATCAGGTGGTCAGAGGAGGTCCCATGGAGAAGATTGCATTTTAGTAAAGACCTGAAGGGTGTGAGAGAATAAGCCCTGTGGATGTCTGGGACATGCATTCCACGTGCCTGGCCAGGGCACATCACTGCTGTGTTCCTGTGGGTTGATTCCTCTTACAGCACCAAACAGTCTCACAGAGTGAAGTTTCTACCCACCTCATGCCTTAAAAATCACACATGACTCCAAAGAGTCTATGGGATGAAACTCAAATCTCTCCATTTGGCACACATGGTTCTTCACAACCTGACCACAACCTCAGCCCACTCTCCACACAGGATGGCAGGCAGCCTGAGACAGCCCCTGGTGATTCCCACCACTTGGTATTCATGTCCTTGTATAATCCCCTCCTCTGGAGAGTCACTGTGCCTGGTGATTTGCTTCTGCCATGTAAGTAAGGCGAAAACCATGGGATATCAATTCTGAGATTAGATTGAAAAGAAATCATGGCTTCCGTCTTGCACACCCTCCCTCACCCTTCTTTGCTCTGAGAAAAGCCAGCTCCCATGTTGTGAGCTGCTCTATAGAGAGGCCAATGAGGCAAGGAACCCAAGGGGACCTCAGGTCAAAAGTTGGAGAGGAGCTGAGGCCTCAGCCCAATAGCCTGTGGGAAACTTAATCCTAGCAATAACAACATGGGTGAGCTTAGAAGTGGACCTTCCCCTGGTTGAGCCTTCAGATGGGACCCCAGCCCTGGCTGGCACTCTGACTGCACTCTGACCTTGTGATAGACTTTGAAGCAAAGGCACCCAGCTAAGCTGTGCCCAAATTCCTGACCCAAAACTGAGATAATAAACATTTGTAATTTTAACAAGTTTTGGGATAACCTACTATACAGCAATAAATAATTAATACAATACAACCTCACTAAGTGCCAGAAAACCACTCCAGAGTTTAGCACCACTCTAAATTCTTGACCAGCATTTCCTCCAGGGCTGTCATCCAGCCTCACATTCTATTGTGCTTCTCTGGCCACCCAACTCTTCATCTCTCCCCAACAAATATAGTAGATCACACCAACTCTCTTCAAATTTCCAGCCCTCTGACTACCCACCCTTAGAGACTCCTCCCCAGCACTCTCCCCTCAATCCCAGGAGATGACATCACCAAGAATATGAAAGTTATCAGATGAGAAGTCTCTTAACCTCTCAGCTCGAAAGAGACAAAGTTATCCATGTTTGGATGCAACCACTCATGTCTCCCTCCTGTTGCAGTAGAGGACTAGTCCTTCAAGCTGATCCCAGTTCCTCCTCCAGCAACTGGATCCCATCCCATCTCTTTACATTGTCAAGGATCCCTCCTTTCTTCTGTATCTTCAACCCCTTCCTCTCCTTTCCAACAATCTTTCAAGTTACTCAGTTCTCTCCCATCTTAACAAACATTTCCTTGATCCCAGAATCCCCTCCTGCAACTGCCACCCACTCTGACTTCCTCTGTAACCAACCTCTTGCTGTGTCCTCTGCATTTCCTCCCTTTGCAGCCACTCCAGTCTGGCTTTTGCCCTAATCACTCCACCTGTCTCCAAAATCATCAATGTCCTAGAGGCTGCTAATCAAATAAACATGTTTCACACCTCAGGTCGTTTGACTTTCAGGACCATTTGAAGCATTAACCGCTCTGGGCTTCAAGACTCTCCTGGCCTCCCCTTTATAGACCCTGTTGCCAACTCCTCTCCTCTACCCAACCTCTACTACTAGGGTATCTCAGACTAGGTCCTAGGCCCTCTTCTACCCTCCCACCCCTTCCATCCAACCCTACGTAGAGTTTCCTTTTGCTAGGCATTCCCATTCACAACTCAAATAATATCTCTGCATCTGCATCTTTAACTCTCAAATTTATACCCCTGATCCAGACATCTTTGAGCTATAGATTTTTTTTTTCTTTTTTTCCTTTTTTGAGACAGAGTCTCGCTCTGTCACCTGGGCTGGAGGGTAGTGGCACGATCTCAGCTCACTGCAACCTCCTCTTCCTGGGTTCAAGCGATTCTCCTGCCTCAGCCTCCCTATTACTGGGATTACAGGCGCATGCCACCATGCCCAGCACATTTTTGTATTTTTAGTAGAGACAAGGTTTCACCATGTTGGTCAGGCTGGTCTCGAACTCCTGACCTCAGGTGATCCACCCGCCTCAGCCTCCCAAAATGCTGGGATTACAGGAGTGAGAGCCACTGTGCTAGGCTTGAGTTCCAGATCTATATATTCAACTGCCTGCTATCCACTTAGACGGCTCATAAGTACCTTAGATCCAATATGTCCAAATTTGAATTCATGTCATGCACCTCACAGTTGGTATTTCTCCATTGTTTTATTTCTCAGAGAATTGCCCAAAACCAAAATCTGGCAGTTCATGGTTACTACTATCCATTCTGCTCCTAAAAGCATCCAGCATTTGCTTTCTTCTGCAACACCACTTCTTTAGGCCAAGCTACCATCCTCTATGACCTGTAGTAAAGCAAAGTCACCATTCTTCTTCTTCTTCTCCTCTTTCTCTTTCTCTTCCTTTTTTCTTCTTTTTCTTCTCCTCCTCCTTTTTCTCCTACCCCTTCTCCTTTTTTCCCTTCTTTTTCTTTAAAGCAATGTCCTTCTAACTGAAGGCTTTTCAACCCTGGATATACATTTAAGATGCCTGCAGATGGCCGGGCGCAGTGGCTCACACCTGTAATCCCAATACTTTGGGAGGCCGAGGCAGGCGGATCACGAGGTCAGGAGATCGAGACCATCCTGGCTAACACGGTGAAACCCCGTCTCTACTAAAAATACACACACACAAAAATTAGCTGGGCGTGGTGGCTGGTGCCTGTAGTCCCAGCTACTCAGGATGCTGAGGCAGGAAAATGGCGTGAACCCGGGAGGCGGAGCTTGCAGTGAGTCGAGATCGCGCCACTGCACTCCAACCTGGGCGACAGAGCGAGACTCCGTCTCAAAAAAAAAAAAAAATGCCTGCAGAACTTTAAAAAATTACCAATACCCAAGGTTTATCCCAAACCAAGTAAAGCAGAGTCTCTGGGAGCGGGCTCCAATCACCCTTATTACAAGCTCCCCAGGTAATTCTAATTTGCTGCTTAGATTACGAATCACTGCTCTAATCGGCCTCAACACATCCATTCTCGCTCCACTCCATTTTCCATGCAACAGCCAGAGGGGTCTTCTTCATAAGGCAAATTTCATTGCATCCCTCCCCTTGCTCTTAGAATAAAGCTCAAAGCCTTCTGGCCCTCCAGCATCCCCCGCTGCCTGCCTCCTGGAAGTCTGGCTGCTCTATGGAATCTGAACTACTTTCAGATACTCTGGACTCTGTGTCCCTTCTACATCAGGCCCATCCACGTGCTGTTTTCTCTTACTGGAATGCCTTGCCTGACTAATCCCACTCATCCCTCAGGAGGCAGCTCATCTATCTCCTCCTCAGGCATAACTCTCCTGATCCTCAGATCAAACGGGCTCCTCTCACCCCATTCATGCTTCTATAGCTCCTTCTTCTTCCCCTCCACAGGCATGGGACTATTGTCAATATACAATTACCTATGTGATTTTTGTTTGTTTAATTTCCCTTTTCCACTAGAAAGAGGTAAGAATTATGTTTGCCTTGTTCTTTTCTGCATTCCTGCAACCTAACCTAACCCAATTACCTGGAACGTAGTAGGTATTTAACAACATTTTATGGAATGAGAATGAACACACACACATTCCTCCAACCCCACAGCGTGGCATATTTTTCCTTCTTCTTGGAATGCACCAACCCTGTCTACAGCCTCTCCGTGTTTCCCCTTGTCAAACTCCTACTTATCCTTCATGACCTAGTTTAAAAAGCTCTTCTCCACAATTCCTTCCTGGCTCTCTCAGGCAGAGCTCATCTCTCCTCCTCTGGGAGCTGATAGTATGCCTCCTCTCTTGGTATTTTAGTTACTTGTTTGTGAACTGCCTTCCTGCTGCTGCTGGACTTCATGATCATCCTTCTTCTAGAGTTCATAACTTATTTACTGGACGAATGCACAAAAAAATGAATCAATGGGGATCCCATCACTCTCAAGTCAAGCTGTTTTCCTGGGGGAGCTGGACCCTGCTTTTAAGCTCCAATATGGAACCACCAAATTGTTCAAAGGCCAGCAGGCCAGACATTGGGGATCTCATTGTAACTCTGAAGTATTAGACATACATACGATTGCCCCACAACACACGAGCTAAACTCTTGGGTCACACACAAAGTCCTTGTGCTGCACCCCTCAGGCTGACCAGAGCTTTTTTTTTTACTGGGCCTCTGAAAACAGGTCTGGAGGAGTTTTTTGATGCAGGCTGTTGGGTGGGCTTCTAGAGTGGGGAAGGCCATGGGACTCTTTGCTCCAGGGGCAGTGCGGGGACAGAAAGGAATGCAGCCTCAGCCCTGGACACCCTCCCCATCACTGTCAAGTCGAGCTGTTTTCCTGGGGGAGCCTGACCCTGGTTTTAGGCTCCAATATGGAACCACCAAATTGTTCAAAGGCCAGCAGGCCTTCATTCCAGACTAAGGGTAGTGGGAGAGACCAAGGCCAGAATGGAATAAGGAGAAGGGTCTGCTGCAGGGCCAAGGCCATGTGGAAGAGATGCTTCATGGCAGGCTCCAGCTGCCCCCAGACAGGAGCTCTTGGCATTTTCCATACCTGATTCTAGCTGACCGCTAACCCAGCTGGCAGCTTTCTCCTTCCCCAGCTGCTCAGCCTGAGGAGGGGCCTACACCCTCAGACTTGCCCTATACATCAGCAGGTCCCGGCTGCAGCAGCTGGGCAGGAGGCCTACCGCATTGGTTCACGTCTGCTGACCAAGTGGAGAGAAGCAGAAGCAGACCTGGGCAGGGCAGGAGGAAGCCATCTGGGGAAATGCAGCTGAGGGCCCGCTCCCCGAGCCCCACCCTGCCTGCCCTCAGGCCCAGTTTCTCTTTCCTTGACCAAATCCACTTCCTGAGTGACATAGGTGGAATGGGGTGGGAGAGAGACAGCCTTTGGAAAAAGACCACCTGCCATGTGTTAGATGCAGTGCCAGGGGATGACCAAGAAACACCTCTTCCAGGTGACAGAGATGGAGCAAGGTTGACATCATGGATGATAATAGTAATATAGTGGCTGACGTGTTGACCTTTCGTAAGTAGCAGGCCAAGAACTTTACAGAAATTGTCCCGTTGGGAAACCTAGCTCTATCACTGAAAGAAATTAAATTCCTGTTCATTGTCCCTACACATCTTCACATGTTTGCAGAGAGCCGGCTGCATGCACTACAGGTGAGATGCCTCTCATGGGCCACCCAGTCCCACTCTGGGACCCTTGGCTGCTGGTTGTGCTCCAGCCGTGTCTGAGTGATCAACTCAGCAGCAGCTCAGGCAGCTCCCAGGGGGCATGACCTGACAAAGCTCTCAGGTCACACCTACACTGCACACCTCTCCTTCCTGCCTTGGGGCTACCTGCAGTCTCCGAAGTATGAGACGCCACTGATGGACCTCATATGCAGAGCCCTGAAGGGTGAGGTCAGCAAAGCTTTGACCAATGGCAGACAGGAGATAGTGGACACATTCTGTCCCATTCCTCCCCACTGGCCAGGCTGTCCTAAGGCCCAGAGGTTCATACAGCCTCTTAGAAGACAGTCCTGCAATCACAAGCAATCGGCTTATCCAGTGTAAATGGTGCCTACCTGGTAACACACACTCATAAGGGCTCTCCCAGCTTCCTGCCCCACTCCACTCTTCCTTTGCTTTTACTTCCCAAGCATTGCACACCCTAATAAGGCAGTAGCGTACCAGCTTGTGCCTCAGGGTACCCAGGCTAAGACAGGCGAGTGGAGAAACAGATATGGAAACAGATATGAATGCACATTATTTACGTGAAGGGGAAAAATAAAGATTGCTGGTGAACTCCAGGCTGAAGATGATGAGTTCTGTTCTGTGATAAGAGTGAGCTGTGATTTGTAGGGCACTAACCTTGCAGCTGCCTGGAGGGTGGAAGTGAGAAAATGGAGGCTCGAGACAGACAGTCTGGTTGGTGGCTGTGGCACTGTAGTCTGGGTGGAGCTGGGGCTACTCAGGCACTCTTGGGGTACTTGCCCAGGGGCCCGGTGGGGTAATTGCTCCTTTCTGGAAGAAACAGTGGGAGAAGGAAAGAAATAAGGCCCCCACCTAGGAGCCTCATTCATCTTTGACTTATATACCCCGGCCCCAGTTACATCTGGGAGGGTGTCCCTGGTCCCCTCCAGCCACCATCAGTCACCTAAATGGAGAGTTCTAGGTTTCGTCAGGTGTGGGGGGCTTTAGAACAGCTTCTCTGATGTAGGACTCTGGAATCCAGTTCTGGAGAAACATTGCCTAAAATGACTAAACGTTTCAAAATGCCACTCTAGGTCTGTGGCTCTTTGTATCCCAACATGGACCGTTCTAGCTCTTGTGTTCCTTCCCAGAGCAAGGACTTCCCATGGGGCCACCTGATAGCCTGGGCCCAGTGGAGCTTCCTTGGTCCAAGCCTCCCCCGTCAGCCTGGACTTCAACCCTCAGGTGCTTGGCTGCCTACCTCCCCATGGCTCTGACTCTACTCATGCACTCCCCAGCAAGGGCCAGGGAAGCTCCCTCACAATCATGGTGGCCCTCCTTGACACAAAAGTCGCTGGCAGCCATGGCAGAAAGTTCCAGGGAGGTCGATTTTGGCTCTGCGTGTGTGGCTAAGCTTTGGTGAGAGAAGGACTGATTTCATTTGAATGACGTAGACAGAATGACACTCCATCAGGCCTGAGGTCACACCCAGGACATGAGGAAAATCGACACCCCCGGATGACCCAGCACTTCCTAGCATTCTGCCCCGAACAGGATTTCTAAAGGGTTTGATGAATACAAAATAATACCAACGCACCAGCCTTCTCATGCTCAGCAGTCACCTCCCCGCCTGGCTTGGGAGCCGTGCTGACCTTTCCCAGTCGTTCTATTCACAGCACTCCCTGTGGGCACTTCCTAGCAACCGGTCCTTCCCTGACACGAAAACAAAACCAGACCTTCACCAGGATGCCTTGTCTACTCCACCTTCTCCATCATTTGCCCCCACAGGACTGGCTCGCAGTGGGTGTTGTGGACTGCCGTGCCCCACTGTGCAGCAGTTCTGAGAAGGAGACTCTGCCTCCATTACAAGAAATGATGTGGGAGGGACACTGCTGGCGTCTTTCTCTGCCCCTTCCCTCCAAACTGCCTGCCTTCCTATGACTCCTCATTGTAGGAGGAGAGGCTTTTCTGATTAGTGTGACCATAGCATCTTTTCCTATCCTTTTAATTTTAACCTATTTGTGTCCTCATATTTCAATTTGGTTTTTTTGTTTCTTTGTTTGTTTTTTGAGACATAGTCTCGCTCTGCCACCCAGACTGGAGTGCAGTGGCACAATCTCAGCTTGCTGCAACCTCCGCCTCCTGGGTTCAAGCGATTCTCCTGCCTTAACCTCTAGAGTAGCTGAGATTACAGGCGCCCAGAACCATGATCGGCTAATTTTTGTATTTTTGGTAGAAATGGGGTTTCACCATGTTGGCCGGGCTGGTCCCAAACTCCTGACCTCATGTGATCCATCCACCTTGGCCTTCCCAAGTGCTGGGATTACAGGCATGAGCCTCTGTGCCTGGCCTCAATTTGTTTTTTGACGGACAGAATATAGAGCTTGCCTTTTTAAAAAAACTCCAATCTGACAATCTCTGCCTTTTAAATGGGATATTTACACCATTTGAAGGTAATGTGATTATCGATATGATTATTATTAAACTTACTATCTTGCGCTTTGTTTGCCATTTGTCTCATCTGTTTTTGTTACCTGTTTTTTTCATCTTCATCCTCTTTTGAGGTAAATTATTTTTTATAATTCTATTTTATCTCTTTTATTGGCTTATTAGTTATATCTGTTTGTCTTGTGTTTGGGATGTTTGCTTTAGCGTATATAGTATACATCTTCAGTTTATCACAATTCATCTTCAAAATATAGGATGGCAATTCATTTACAACACAAGAACCTTACAGTATACTTGCATTTACACCCTCCCTTCCTGGCCTTTGTGTTATTCTTGCTAGCCATTTTACTTGTGCATATAAACCTCACAATACATTGTTATTATTTTTGTTTTTAATGATCAATTGCCTTTTAAAGACATGTTAAAAATAAATTTGTTTTTAATATTTACCACATATTTATTATTTACAGTCTTTTCATTCTTTTATGTAGAACAAAACTTCTATTTGATTTCATTTTCTTTCTGTCCAAAGATTCTCCTTTAACTTTCTTTAGGATTAGTGACCAATTCTTTTAACTTTTGTATGTCTAAAATAATTAGTTCACCTTTTTTTGCAAGATATTTTGCTGTATATAGAGTTCTAGGTTCACGGTGTTGTCTTTCAGTTCATTAAAGAAGTTGGTCAACTGTCTTTTGGATTGCATTGTTTCCAACAATAAGTCTGCTGTTATTTTCTTTGTTCTTCATGCCCGTGTCCTGGCTGTTTTTAAGGTTTTCCTCCTTATCTCTGTTCTTAAGCAATTTGATTATGTACACTGGTGTTGTTTTCTTCATGTTTCTTGTGCTTAGGGCCCATCGAGCTTCCTAAATATTTTTATCAAATTAGAAAAAAGCATTCAGCTATTATTTCTTTTTTTTTTTTTTTTGAGAAAGAGTCTCGCTCTGTCTCCCAGGCTGGAGTACAGTGGCACTATCTCAGCTCACTGCAAGCTCTGCGTCTCGGGTTCACAACATTCCCCTGCCTCAGCCTCCCAGGTAGCTGGGACCACAGGCACCCACCATCACGCCCGGCTAATTTTTTGTATTTTTAGTAGAGACGGGGTTTTACTGTGTTAGCCAGGATGGTCTCGATCTCCTGACCTCGTGATCCGCCCACCTCAGCCTCCTAAAGTGCTGGGATTACAGGCATGATCCACTGCGCCCGGCCTTATTATTTCTTCCTTCTATCTCTCTATTCTTTTTGTGGGGACTGCAAAAAGAATTATTATATGTTATTGTATATAAGCTATATGTTATATTATCTTGCTTGAAGTTGTTCTGCAGCTCACTGATGCTGTTTACTGTTTTTCTTCAGTCTGCAGTGTCCAATTCATTCTTATTCCCATCTAGTGTGTTTTTCCATCTCAGACATTAGAGGTTCTTGTTTGTTTGTTTTAATCTCTACAAGTTTGATTTAGGTCTTCTCCTTTAAATATCTACCACCATCTCTTTAATATGCTCATGCATTCCTCTGTCTTCTCCATAAATATATGGAGTATATTTACCTCATTTAAAATACTGTTCTTGTCTATTCACCTGTGTCATTTCTGTATCTATTTCTATTGATTGATTTTTCTCCTCTTTATATTGTTTTCCTAGTTCTTTGACGCCTGATAATTTTTTATTGGATGCCAGATTAGTGCTGAATGCTAGGTTTCTTCTTTAAATGCTTTTGAGTTTTATTCTGGGACTCAATTAAGCTACTTGGAAACAACTTGATTTTTCAAGACTTGCCTTCAAGCTTTTTACCTGGGTCAAAGCAACTTTTAATCTAGGGCCAATTTTTCCCATTACTGGTCCAGGCAGCGAGGTGCCATCAATGATTTTTAAGCAAGACAGAGACATGATAGAATTTGCATTTAAGAAAACCACTCTGGCAGCATGAAGAAGATAGAGGGAAGAGATGGGAAGGACAGAGAGAGACCTAAGGCAGAGCTCACTGTTTATTCAGCCCAGGTAGTGAAGAAGGCAGGAGCTCAGGCTGCAGCCACTGTGGGGGTCTGAAATATCAGGATTGGAATCAATGGTGCTTGATGTGGGTAAAGTAAAATGGAGAAGGGTGAGTCTGAAATAAGCTGAGGTTTCCTCATTTCTGGGGGTTTCAGAGGAAATGAGATCCCACAGGAAGCCATTAACAGGGTTGCCAGGAGTTTCTAATCCCCCTTTTGTGAGTCTCTCTTTCATTACCAGGGGGCTGATGGCAGGAAGAAGAAAAGTCAGGACCACATAACCTAGCACTGCCCCTTTGGGTATCTGTGGGCCTTTTTCTCTGCTAGCTCAAAAGAATGTCAGTGTCCAAGACCCTGAGTATTGGTGATTTCTCCTGCTTATGACATCACAGACTACCTTCTGTTCAAGGAAAAAATTTCTCTCTGTAAGTGTACCATCTGGTGTCTGGTAGAGCTTGGCAAATTAGAGTCTTTTATAGCACTGTGTTTTTATAATGTGACATGAGGCCTCAAAATTACATTAATATCTCCAGTGCTGCAATTATATTAGTCCAGGGTCAAGTCCGTCTCTCTAATGAAACAGTGTTGATGAAGAATTTCATTCATAAAATGTTGAAATGGCCTCCCCAGCTCTCACTGAGCTAGCCAGAGAAATTTCCTCTAGGCCCATAGAGACTATGTTTAGTCTCAATCTGTGACCCATCTTCCATCTCCATTTTCAGAAGAAAGTGTTCCTTCATAAGCTAGGTATCATTTCCCCTTTTCTTTGATGCACCAACATGTTTTCTAGCAGGAGATCCAAGAACGTTCATCAAGTGTACGTTGAAACCATGAAACCTTTAGGTTTAAAGTGCACTTTGTCCACACCAGGGTAAAGAAAGAGTTAAGTTTAAAAAAAAAAAAAAAACCAAAAAGGAAAGTTTGACAAGTGAGACTCATTCACTTCCTCTCTCTCTAGCTCTCCTGGTTGTGAATTTGACCAAGAGTAAACTTAAGTGTCTTCAATTAACCCTTCCAAGTAAAAGAGTGCCTCCCCTGCTTCCAAGGGCCCAGGAAAGCCGTGAACTTGGGTTACTTGCAGGGGCTGTTGTTTCCCTTGGAATAAAAAATGTTTGAGGCTCAAACCTGACAGCCGAAGAAAAAGGGAATTATGAACATAATATCACAGTTTATACACTTAGCAAGTTTTGAGAGTGTTCTCTCATTTCCTCTATTTTCTGTGTGTCTTTCACACATGCATGCACACTGAAATAAGCCAGCCTAAATATATTGGCAAAGTCACACTCAGGGTGTGTTGTAGTTCTTAATTGAAGCCATTAGAAAACAAAAAACCAAAACATTCACTGACGACAACAGAGCTCCTCCTCAGGATTAAACTCTCCTCTGTTTTAAAAGGAAAAAAATCTGAAGCAAAGGGTTAAATTATTTGCACAATTAATGTCCTACAAATCATCTGAAAAAAATGCGAGCCCTAAGTCTGCCTTCCAAAGCTGGGAAAATGCTAACTATGGTCTCTGTCTCCAAACAGGCAGCTTTTAAATGATCCTAAATACCAAAACATGCCCAGGCTCTATTTCTTCAGTGCTGAAGCTGAAATTTACAACATAACCAACCTCAAAACATTTGGTTTCCAGCAGTGCCTGGATATGTCCAAGCCTGATTTTGCACAAGTCTAGGGTAAAAGAACAGAGGAATCCAGGAGAAGCAATAAATTGGGTGGACTAGGGAGGGGGTAAGAGAGGTAATTGGTGAGGATAGAAGAGGCATGAAGTCTAACAAAATTCAAATGGTAGCCTAAAAAAAAGTCTCCTAAAGGGTTAGAAAGAGACACTATAGTATTAAAAGTTATTTTTCAGAAAAAGAATAAAATTATGATTCACATACAAATATAAAAATGTACACGTTGAAGAATTTATTTACTCCTGATACCAAGAAACCAGGCAATAGTTCAAAGGAAAAGTCAAAAACACACAAATTCTTACTGAGTGAAGGAATGTAGAGATGAATTGCAAATGGAGATTAAATTGCTTTTTTTCCCAAAAGGGGAGGAAGTCAATTAAATCACTATCAGACAAGACATAATTTACATATCTATCGGTTACTTCCAATTTACAGAGCCTTGCAAAATAGCTCAAAGACAATGCATAGTAGAATCTGATAGCCCTGACAGCTTTGCTGTAGACAATGCATAGGTTTACACTGAAACACCATTTTTCTTTTTTTTGAGTCAGAGTCTCGCTCTGTCGCCCAGGCTGGAGTGCGGTGGCACCATCTCAGCTCACTGCAACTCTGCCTCCCGGGTTCAGGCGATTCTCCTGCCTCAGCCTCCCAAGTAGCTGGGACTACAGGTGTGCACCACCACACCCAGCTAAGTACGCCCAGCTAATGTTTGTACTTTTAGTAGAGACGGGATTCACCATGTTGGCCAGGCTGATCTCGAACTCCTGACCTCAAGTGATCCACCTGCCTCGGCCTCCCAAAGTGCTGGGATTACAGGCATGAGCCACGGCGCCCAGCCACACAAAATTTTTTCTACAGCATTTGTAAAATGTTAAGGGGAAGTTCTTGGGCGGGGTGGGGTGCATGAGCCCTCCCATAGAGGACAATGTCATGGAGAGGTTAAAACCCTTGAAGAGGCAAGGTAGAGGGTATTGTCAAGGATGTCCAAAGCAAGCGTTGGCCAGATAGCAGCACACAGCCTAGTAATTTTATTATCTATTAAATTTGGTCACTTCACACACACCTTAGCACAATGTAGGATCAGAATATGAAAGTTAGGGTCACTGAGCTGTTCTTAAAGTTTGTGATCCTAGTGGCCATCACTAGGTGGGCTGCAAAAGATCCAAGACTCACCCCCATCCATACATGCAAATGTTATGTGTGTGCCTAATGAAACTGCATTTTTCTGGGGATGGTTCTAGAATGTTCATGACATAGATGTCCTATGCCTCTACATTATACAAAATACACATCTAAATCTAGTCATAATGAACATAATTGAAATCTGGCTACCTTCATAGAATTTTTAAAGGGCTTTTTTTGGAAGGAAACATTTTAATTGCTCACATCACTTCAATTAAAAGAAAAAAAGGCTAAGAAATGTGAACAGTGCATTCCTTTTCCCTGGATAAATCACCCTGCAACAAGTGCAGGCATTCCAAATCATTCCCTTTTCCTTCTAAAGTGAACCATCGAGGCATCCAAGAGTTGAAAGGCTAACAGAGGCCTTCAGTAGTGCCAATGTGAGGACCAGGAATATGGCTCAATCCCTGAATTTCTTGTGTTTCTCTTTCTACTCCCTCTCCCTCTCTCACCCCATCCCACTCCAGCAACACAGATATCACTGGGGGCCTTATGAGAGTTGGAGTGGGTAGAAAGAAAGTCCTCCTTCCTCTCAGCTAACTAGCAAGGGAGGCCAACACGACTGAATGGAAATCAGACCTAAGGCTCTTTTTTAGGACTTCAGCTGTTCCAAGTCACTTCTGCCTCCCAGCTGTTGTGATCATCTGGGGCTGGTCGTGGAGCCCCAGCTGTAAAAACTAAGTCAATGAATAAGTGCATAAAATTGACAAAGGGTGAGACCTGAGACTGAACCACAGGTCTTATAGTCAAGAAGTGCATCTGTTCCTCACCAAATATCATCAGATCAGCCCAAAGCTCTGTGTGAGGTCAGACCTGGAGCTTGGCATTTAAGATAAGGGCTAATCTACAAACCACAGGCAGCTCCCATCTGACACAGGCAAGCCGGGGTCAGGGCCAACCAGGAACCAAACCTGGGGTAGTAGGTGTTCCTTGAGGCAGAGGGAGAAAGGATGGAAGGGACTGACAAATATGTTCTGAGTGCTCCTCTTCTCGGGGGACACACTATGTGTACCCCACTACAAGGCCACTATCTGCTTTAGGAACAAACTTGGCATTAAATATACCCACCATTACAATAACATACAGAATGTCTCTCAAAACCTATATGTAGAATGTACAACACAAGGCCAGGCATGTTGGCTCACACCTGTAATCCCAGCACTTTGGGAGGCCGAAGTGGGCAGATCACCTGAGGTCAGGAGTTCGAGACTAGCCTGGCCAATATGGCAAAACCCTGTTTCTACTAAAAATACAAAAATTAGCTAGGTGTGGTGGTGGGTGCCTCTAATCCAAGTTACTTGGGAGGCTGAGGTAGGGGAATTGCTTGAACCTGGGAGGTGGACTTTGCAGTGAGCCAAGATCGTGCCACTGCACTCCAGCCTGGGAGACAGAGCGAGACTCCATCTCAACAAACAAACAAACAAACAAACAAACAAACAAACAGTACAACACAAAGAGTGAGCCCTAATGTAAATACAGACTTCAGTTAATAAAAATGTGTCCATATTGGTTTATCAATTGTAACAAACTCAAATGAACCATACTCATCCAAGGGGTTAATAATAAGGGAAACTAGTGGGGAGGAGGGATATGGCTATTGATACTTTCTTCTCAATTTTTGTTTGTTTGTTTTTTTTTTGAGATGGAGTCTTGCTCTATCGCCCAGGCTGGAGTGCAGTGGCATGATCTCGGCTCACTGCAACCTCTGCCTCCCGGGTTCAAGCAATTCTCCTGTCTCAGCCTCCCCAGTAGCTGGGACTACAGGCACCTGTCCCCACTCCCAGCTAGTTTTTGTATTTTTAGTAGAGACGGGGTTTAACCATATCGGTCAGGCTGGTCTCGAACTCCTGACCTCAGGTGATCCACCCGCCTCAGCCTCCCAAAGTGCTGGGATTACAGGCGTGAGCCACCACGCCCAGCATCTTCTCAATTTTTCATAAACCTAAAACTGCTCTTGAAAAATAGTCTATTAATTAAAATTAAAAAGTAAATCTCAGGCCAGGTGGCTTACAACTGAAATCCCAGCACTTTGGGAGGCTGAGGTGGACAGATCACTTGAGCACAAGAGTTCAAGACCAGCCTGGGCAATACAGTGAGACCCTGTCTCTACAAAAAAATGCAACAAACTAGCTGGGCGTGGTGGTGTGCACTTGTAGTCCCAGCTACTCAGGAGACTAAGGTGGGAAGATCACCAGAGCTCGGGAGATTGAGGCTGCAGTGAGCCATGACTTCACCACTGCACTCCAGCCTGGGTGACAAAGTGAGAAGCTGTCTCAAAAAAAAAAAAAAGGTACACCTAGCGTCTTCTCAGAGCCTCTGGATTGGGTACTTAGTGGCTGCTACCACCAAGTGAGACAGTGGGGACAGAGAAAGAGCAAAGTTTGAGGGAAGAGGATAGTAAAGGGAACATTGGGCCAGGTGTGGTGGCTCACACCTGTAATCCTAACACTTTGGGAGGCTGAGAGGGGGCGGATCACTTGAGGTCAGGAGCTCAGTTCAAGACCAGCCTGGCCAACATGGCGAAACTTCATCTCTACTAAAAATACAAAAATTAGGCAGGGCACGGTTGCTCACACCTATAATCCCAGCACTTTGAGAGGCCGAGGTGGGCAGATTGCCTGAGGTTAGTTCTCCCATCCTGGCCAACATGGTGAAACCCCATCTCTACTAAAAATACAAAAATTAGCCAGGCATGGTGGCAGGCGCCTGTAATCCCAGCTACTTGGGAGGCTAAGGCAGGAGAATCGCTTGAACCCAGGAGGTGGAGGTTGCTGTGAGCCGAGATCATACCATTGCACTCCAGCCTGGGTGACAGGAGTGAGACTCCACGTCAAAAAAAAAAAAAAAAAAAAAAAATTAGCCCAGCATGGTGGCGCATGCCTGCAATCCCAGCTACTCAGAAGGCTGAGGCACAAGAATCACTTGAACCTGGGAAGCAGAGATTGCAATGAGCCGAGATCCCGCCACTGCACTACAGCCTGGGCAACAGATTGAGACTTCATCTCAAAGGAGGTTTGGCCATGGTGAATCCAGGGAGTGTAAAGGACACATAGATAGATATATCTTCTAGACAGAGGACAGAAGAGTCAGAATTTGGGCTGCAAATACATGATGGGAGTCATCAACATATAAACCCATTGAACACCATATATGGATGAGAGTTTTCTCTTCAGCAGCTGTGAGGAGTTGGGATGACCACACGCAGTGCCTCCTTCCTTGTTCGTGAGCACTCAGTGCAGGGCAACTGACAGCAATTAGGACGGGGAGACACGAAGCCTCCCCCCGCCGCAGGAATTGCTACTGCAGATCTTCCCTTCTTGTGGAACACTGTGGTCTCTGTGGGTGAGGGAGATGCTCTGATTCATCGTCCACAGGGCTGTAGTATTTTGATGCTGTAGTCCAATAACTGTATTTTCTGTCCATATTAGGCCGAGAGTAGGGGCGTCCTCCAGGGTTGTATAAACCATCAGTAGCCAATTCATTTGCACCTGCTACATTATCCACTGATGACTTCAATCAGCTAAGGCAGCCAAGCAACAAGAGGCACTACGTGGGCAAAACGTTGAGTCATCCGCATATCTGCCCTCTGAACACACGAAAATATCCCCACTGTGCATCCTGAGTAACATTTGTGCCAGGTTCCCAGGCAAACTTCCTCCTGAGCTTCCTCCTCCACTCTTCCCTGCTCCAGGCACTGAGCCCTACCCACTCTCAGCCTCTCAGGCTTAAGGGCCGAATCATCCACTCTCAGAGCTTAAAGGAAAAAAAAGAGGAAGGAAGCAGTGAGACTTGATTTGTAACAGCCCTAACTATGGAGCTGGAAGATCTGGGTTCAGATGGCAGCCTGGGTTCCCTAGTTGCATAGTAGATCTCATCTTTCTGAGCTTACACTTCTTCAGCCGTAAAATGGAGATGATAATATTAACTGCTGCTGCTGATCTTTTGACAATTGAGATAATGTATTTTTCAAGGGCCTACCATATACTAAGAGCTAACATTTTTGAGTGTTTACATTTTATCGGATACTCTTCCAAACCATTTACACATTTGTTAACTCATTTCATCTTTATAACACCCTACGATAATCCCAAGGCACAATTATCTTTATTTTATAAGTGAAGAAACTAAGCCACAATGAAGTTAAGTAAATTGTTCAAGGCCCCAGAACTAGAAAGTGGTAGAACCACAATTTTCCGCCACTCAAAAGTGGGCTGACCCTCTTCGTATTTACATCAGGGGTTCTCAGAATGTGGTCTTCAGGCCAGCAGCAGCAGCAGCGGCAGCAGTAGAAACTTGTTAGAAATGATCTCAGGACCCACCCAGAGCTACAGACAGAAATTCCAGGGGCGGGCAATGGCAAACTGGGTTGACAAGCCCCCCAGTTGATTGTGATTTTCAGCCAAGTTTGATAACCTCTGGCCTACACTTTTCCTTCTACCTCCATGGCAGATGACAATTGAACAAATTAGACCCCTTTTCCTCCCAACACCCACTATGTATTAGGCACTTTGTGTGTTATTGTCATTTAATTCTCATAAGAAACTTTTTTTATTTTTATTTTTTATTGAGACATGGTCTCACTCTGTTGCCCAGGCTGGTCTCGAAACCCTGGGCTCAAGCAATCCTCTCCCCTTGGCCTCCCAAAGTGCTGGGATTACAGGTGTAAGCCACCATGCCCAACCAAGCAAGAAACTTTAGAGATTGGTTTTCTCACCCCCATTCTATAGATAGGAGACCTGGACAAGGGGAGGAAGGTGTGGGCCCTTGTACAGGCCATACAGCTAGTAATGTCCCACTCCAATGTCGCACTCCCCGGCTCCTACAACACAAGGCATTCCTCAATGCTGGCTGTGTCCTGTCATCCCCAGATCCCTGCCTCACTCCCTCACTCCATTCCCCAGCAGGGACCCTGGGCCTCTGCAGGCCTCGAACCACCGCTCCTGGCTATGAGGTCCGTCCTGGTTCTAGGGCTGTAACCCCAAGTCAGCTTTATCCAAGCTGCTCTGTGATCTTCTGTTCTAGGGCAAGCACTAGAGATGACTCCCATGACCAAGCCTTCACCCCATAGCCCCTCCGGCCCCAGGGGACCAATCTGGTGTCCCTTTAGTTTGGGCCATCTCATGAGTTCTCCAGCCCCTTAGTGCCTTGAGCTTGGTTTTTTGGGGTCAATCCCTTCAAGTTGTGGAGAAATGCCCCTGGGCCCCAGACCCCAGCAGGGTCCCCATGTCTCCTTCCCGACCATACATCCCTGCCAGTGTTAGGAATAACGCTCAAAATCCTAAGGAAATTGAACACTTGAACAAAGGATTCTTAGCAAAGAAATTTTACTTCTGCGCAGAGGGGTGCCTCCTTGGCCAGTCGCCATGAAAGCACACCTGTAGGAAGGGGCACAAGAGCCTTTATTCCTGATGCAAGTCCTGCCCCTATACCCTTTCCCTATTGGCCAGGGTCAGGTCGTACAATCTAAACTAATCCCGGTTGGCTAAACATTTGATTTTTTTAGATAAGGTGGGCACATAAAAGAAAGTGGAGGGGAAGGGGGAGGGGTGTCTGTAGTGAGCTAAAAAGTGAGTCCTCTTTCCAAATAAGGAAAGGAGTGTGAGCTGGTACTGATAACGCCTGGTACTGTGGCGTGCCTGGGCATCTAACAAAGGCAAAAAGGGGAAAAGGAGAAAAGGCAGGGGCGTGGGGGGTACTATGAATTAAAGAATAAAAGATTGATGAGATTATTTGAAGAGAAAGCTCATCATATCCCAAACCAGTTTCCTACTTCTGGTCACCCAGCCCCATCACTCTTCACAGTCAACACTTACTGTCACTTTTGCTACTCCCCAACCCCGACAGTGATTCCCACCTATTCTCTGACTCCCTTAGGACATTAGGTGCCTGAAACCCTGTCCCTGAGACCATCATTATCTCAAACCCCCCTCTGTCTTCTAGAAAGGATCCCTTTGCCCAAGAGTTAAGGCAGGTTTCCTCTGGGCCTCAGAAGATGCTGCCATGTCATGAGCTCAACCAGAGGCTTCACTGACTGGGGAAACAGACTGGAGGAGCACGCCTGCCTGCCTCTGGGAGCCCCCGGCCCACCCTGCAGGGCTTGAAGAGGTCTTTTCACCCAGGCCCTTCCCTTTCACCCACTGTGCTCCTGGCCTTGGTCCTCTCTGCAGTGGGACTTTAGCAGTGGCCCCCTTAGGAGCCTCCAACGTGATACTCACACATTCTTTGTGGATCCAGAGTCAAGGCTGGGTCTGGATACAGGAAGGTCAGGGCCTCCAGGATGTGTGCTGAAGCACTCTGTTAGGTGGCCTGAGGGCCAACCCAGAATGAAATTTATCAGGACCATCTTGCAGCTTTTAGCAGATATCGGGGTCATTGCCTACCACACTGTGGAAAGACAGGAGGGAGGCTCTTAAATTACCCCCTCTGATGTTCCTGGAGAGGGAGGTAAGGAAGGAACATGCTCTTTGCCCAAAGCCATGTGAGTTAGAACCCAGACTCTGTGGGTTCTAACTCTGAACACCCTGTCTCCACTAAGTCTTGTCTGGGAGCTGGAGCACCCAGGTGAAGCCAGGGCATTTCCAAGGGGGAAGCTTGGCTGCCTGCCCATGAACTTGGGCCTGTGGCTCCTGTAGCCTGGAGGCAGGGTGGGATGGGGAAGGGCACAGGCTCTGGGGGCACAGAGACTTGAGTTAGAAGCCTGATTTAGCCCTTTTCCTAGCTGTGGGAATTGGGCAAGCCATGCAATCCCCCAGGTCACCATTATGCCACCTGGATATAGGGGAGAAACATCTGTTTTATAACATTGTTTAGAGGACTCAAAATATTTCGTGTGTACAGTATTTCATGTGTGTACTGTGGCTCACACACTCACCTCCCTGTATTTCGTGTGTACAGTATTAAATGTATGTACTGTGGCTCACACACCTGCCTATATTTTGTGTGTACAGTATTTCAAGTGTGTACTGTGGCTCACACACTCACTCCCTGTATTTCATGTGTACAGTATTTCATGTGTGTACCATTGCTCACACACTCATCTCTCTGCATTTCGTGTGTACAGTATTTCATGTATGTACTGTGGCTCACACACCTTCCTGTATTTTGTGTGTACAGTATTTCATGTGTGTACTGTGGCTCACACTCTCACCTGCCTGTATTTTGTGTGTACAGTATTTCATGTATGTACCACTGCTCACACACTCACCTCCTTGTATTTCATGTGTACAGTATTTCATGTGCGTACCATTGCTGACACACTCACCTCCCTGTACTTCATGTGTACAGTATTTCACGTGTGTACCACTGCTCACACACTCACCTCCTTGTATTTTATGTGTACAGTATTTCATGTGTGTACTGTGGCTTACACACTCACCTCCCTGTATTTTATGTGTACAGTACTTTGTGTTGTATACTGTTGCTTACACGCTCACCTCCCTTGCCCTTCATCTCCCCACTCTTGCTCATATATTCCCCTCTTTACTCCACCCCTATCCCCATTTGTGTTGATTCTAATCACTGGAGAAAGAGCAGAGCTCACAGCAGAACAGTCCTGACAGCAAGTAGGAGAACTTGAGCCATGTCAAGAGGGTCTGTTTCATCTGTTGGAAAGGTTAGGCCAAATGCAACCCCTACAGTGGGTGGCCAGGCAGTCTGGGTACCAGACCCAGGGCAAGGCTGCTGCTACCCATCTCCCCTGCTGCTTGGTGCAGCGTTCCAGGGCCCAAGCATTGACCTCCATACAGGCCACGCAGCCCAGGCCCCGGGTGACTGGGAAGCTGCAGTGGGAGGTGGCAGCTTCCTGCAGTGAGAGGGTCAAGATGGGAAGTTACAAACTCACAGGTGGGGGAAACTCAGTATTCAGAAGAATTACCTGCTGGAATGGGAGCTCTCTGAGATCAAAACTTTTCTTTGCGCCTGTACCTAGAGAAATGCCCATAGTAAGGGCCCATAAATAGCTCTTAAATTAATAAATGAATGAACAATTCATTCCTTCTTCAAAGTGTCCAGTGGATCCACTAATGGGTAGTTAGGAGACTTAGATAAGTTAATGATACAAAAGTATTTTGTCAGCTTTTTGTGTTTTTAACTTACATAAAATAGAAGTCACTTTGGATGTAGAGTCCTCTCTGAGTTTTAATACAAGCACAGATTCATGTAACCACCACTACTAACAAGATAAAGAACAATTCCTATATCACAAAGCATTTCCTCATGCTATGCCTTTGCATTCAGGCCCTTCCTTCATCCCAAGCTCTGTGCAACCACTGATCTATTTTCTGTTCCTGTAATTTTGCCATTTTCAGAATGCCATATAAATGGAATTACACAGTATGTAACCTTTCGAAACTGGCTTCTTTCACTTAGAGTTTAAAGAAAGGGGAAGGAGGATGGAAGCAGTGAGCTCTGATTTGTGACAGGCCTTTCATTTAGCATCATGCATTTGAGAGTCATTTAAGTCGTTGTATGAATAGTTTTTTCCTCTTTACTGCACAGTAGTTTCCATTGTATGAACGTCCCACAGTTCGTTTATCCGCTCATCCAATGAGGGACATTTGGGTTGTTTTCACATGTTGGAGCTTATGAGTAGTGCCGCTATGCATATTGGTGTAGTTTTTGGTAGGAGAATGTTTTCATTTCTCCGGTAGAAAT
This sequence comes from Homo sapiens, assembly GCF_000001405.40. Lineage (NCBI taxonomy): Eukaryota > Metazoa > Chordata > Mammalia > Primates > Hominidae > Homo > Homo sapiens. The sequence goes on from NC_000002.12 coordinate 30,298,730, forward strand.
ACCTAGAAGTGGGATTGCTGTGTTGTATGGTAAATAGATTCTACTTTATAAGAAATAATCAAACTATTTTCCAGTGTGGCTGTACCATTTTGTATTCCCACCACCAATGTATGAGAGTTCCAGTTTCTTCACATCCTTGTGAGCATTTGGTATTGTCAGTATTTTTAGCCAACCTAATAGGCATGAGATGGTATCTCATTCTGGTTTTAATTTGCATTTCCTTTTTTTTTTTTTTTTTTTGAGACGGAGTTTCGCTCTTGTTGCCCAGGCTGGAGTGCAATGGCACGATCTCGGCTCACTGCAACCTCTGCCTCCCGGGTTCAAGTGATTCTCCTGCCTCAGCCCCCTGAGTAGCTGGGATTACAGGCACGCACCACTACGCCTGGCTAATTTTGTATTTTTAGTAGAGACGAGGTTTCTTTATGTTAGTCAGGCTGGTCTCGAACTCCCAACCTCAGGTGATCCGCCCACCTCGGCCTCCCAAAGTGCTGGGATTACAGGCGTGAGCCACCACGCCCGGCCAATTCGCATTTCCTTAATCACTAATGAGCATCTTTTCATGTATTCGTTTGCCATTTCTATATCTTAATTGGTGAAGCATCTTTTCAAATCTTGCCTAGTTTTTAAAAATTGGTTGTTTCTGATCTTACTTTTACGAGTTCTTTTTATAGTCTAGATGTCTGTTGTCTGATATGTGATCTGCAAGTATTTCCCCCCAGTTTGCAGCTTTTCTTCTCATTCTCTTTAAAATGTCTTTCACAAGAGTAAAGGTGTTTAATTTTGATAAAGTCCAATTTATTGTTTTTCTTTTATAGAGCATGGTTTGGTTGTCGTATCTAAGAACTCTTTGTTTAAGTCAAGATTACAACGATTTTCTCCTGTTTTCTTCTAAGAGTTTTATAGTTACATACTTTACATCTAGGTCCATGATCTATTTTTAATTCACTTTTCTATAACGTGAGGCACAGGTCAAGGGTAATTGTTTTTGCATAGGATATCAAATTTCTCCAACATCATTTATTAAAAAGACTGTCCTTTTTCCATTGAATTCCCTTTATATATCTTTGCCAAAAATCAATTGACCATATTTGTGTGTGTCTATTTCTAGACTCTTTATTCTGTCTATCCTTTCACCAATACCACACTGTTTGCATGACTGTAGCTTGATAGTATCAGGTAGTGTGAGTCTCCAAATTTGTTCTTTCCCAAAATTGCCTTGGCTTTACCTTCTCATATAAGTGTTAGAATTCACTTGCCTGTATCCACAAAGAATCCTGCTGTGCCTTGGCTTGGGATTGTGTTACATCTACAGTTCAATTTGCGGAGAATTGGTATCTTAACTTCAAGAAGGATTCCAATCCATAAACATGCTACCCTGGGGAAGCCAGGTGACACTAACGCCTGCCTGGGGGTGGGAGGCCCTCCCGGCCCCAGCCCAGCTCTGCCAAAAACAGCTGAGTGAGCTTGGGAAAGTTACTTTCCCTCTCTGGCCCTCAATGTCCTCAGCTGTGAAATAGAAAGGTCGGTTAGTTAAACAGAAAGATTACCTTTCAGCTCAGAAGTTCTGGGATTCCCAGTGTAACCTTGAAATGACCTGCTAGGAACAGGAGAGATATTATCAGGTCTCTCCTCAGGGCCTGTCTGATGAGATGGTTCAACAGAGCCACATACAGGAAAAGCCAAATTCACAGCAAACAGCTCAACATGAAAGCCCTGCTGAGTCCAGAGCCCCTGAGTGCAGCCAGCTGAGGGCCTTGCTCTTATTCCTGGGGCACCACAGGCCTTATAAGAAGTCTCCCAATGACAGTCTGAGATAATAGCCTGTCTGTGACAGAACAGCAGACATTGGCCTCTGTTATTCCCAGCCCAGGGAAGTAGTGTGAAGAATAGGCCTTTCTGGGAATGCAGGAGAGAAAATGTTCCCTCCCTCATCCCATCCCATCTCCTCATGTCCAGGCAAAGGAGAGAAAAACCAGGTGGCCCAGCAGCACTATTAATAGTGTTCAAACATTGGAGGCAACCCAAATACCCAACAATTAGGGAATGCTTAAACAAAGGATGGTATGTTGGGACCCTGGAATCCGGCGCAGCTATTAACAATGACAAGTATGTGGATTATGCACTGAAGTGTGTAATAGATAAAATAATGTCAAATAAAAAATGTTGAGAACCAAATAGCACTTGCATATCATTACAGTGATGCTAACATGTTTAGAAATTCCATTGACAAGATTTGGAAAGAAATCGGTTGTAATGCAAACAGAGTTTGTGATTTATAATCTGAGCATAATTGAGCCACTGCTCCATTGAAGTTCTGTGTTAAGTGCTTTGGGGATTCAGAGAAGCCGATGGCTCAAGGCTTGTCCTGGGACGACCTTGCAGCATAGCTGGGGACACATCACCAAACATAAGACTAGGAGGCGAACTCTGACTGAAGGCTGCTTTCACAATTATTCTGTCTGAAGATTCCTAGCTGAGGTATCAAGAGTCTAGGATGGAAGAGCTTTTACAAAACAGTCCTCCCAGGCTTCTTGTTGACAAGGGAGGCAGTTGCTAAGGCACATAATAAAACAAAGCTGGGGGCCGGCTGGAACCCCACCATGGCTGAGGCCCCCGCCTAGGGTAATTCCCTTGGACTTTCAAAGCTCCTGGGACCGTGTGATGGGCCTCAGCACCACGAACCCCCCTAAAGGCTGAGTGTCCCCAGGTGTGACTTCTGAAGTTTCCCAGCCTCCCACCAGCTCTTTGACTTCTGGAGCTCCTGGCCCTCCACCTTGGGGAGCCAGGCAGCTGGAGTAGAGATTCTCTGGGTCTGCTGTCAGGAGGGTACCCGCAAGCCAGAGTGAGCCACTGTGGGCAAGGCTGTCTGGACCCAGGCACCCTGGATGCTGACCCAGGCTCCACTTGCTTGCTGGTGGTCCCAGGCAGGGCACTTAATCCCCTGGGCCTCAGTTTGCATATATGTAGAAGGATCGCAGTGCATTACAAAGCGCCCTACGTTCACTAACGCATCAGCTCTTGTTAGGTTTGTTTACTGATGAAGAAACAAGTTCAGGGAGCCTCCGTGACTAATCCCGGGCCAGAGGCACTTCTTAAGGACACACAGTGGTCAATAGCTATTGGGTTTCTCCAGAGTCCAGTGTTCACTCTCAAAGCTGACCCAGCCCCAGCCTGGCCTCTGGGACCAAGGAAGGTGGTGAGGCTAAGGCCTTAGACACAGCTGAGTGACCATGCGGGAGTTCGAGGAAATTCTGTTTATTTAATAATACAGGCTGGCTTCTCTTGATTCAGAGAGCGTGGGGGCTCCTGGGTGGGAGGCTGAAAAGCCAGGCTCATTGTGTCATAATTGCATCACCCCCTTGTTGGCAATTAATTAGTTAATTACTGTGGGAGAGGCAGAACCAGGGCAGAAATGCCAACTCTAGGCTGGAAAAAGCATTTAAGCCGAGTAACTCTCATTTCCTGTGATATCAGACCTCATCTCCTGGGAGGAGGGTGTGGGGAGATGGGCTCCCAGGAGACCCCGGGTCCTAGGGCAACTGCACACCAGCCAATTTCCAGGACGGGAAGGCAGGAGAACAGACCTGAGTGTCCCCCAGAATGGCAGTGTCCAACCCCACAGGAGTTGGTAGCTGGGGTTTGGGTAACACCTAACTAGGTTAGTTGATTTTTGCTACTCTCCTCCCCGACCTGGGCTGAAGGAAGATCCTGCCTGCCGCCTGCTCCTCTCCCACCCTGTCCTCCTGGCATCTCCTGGTTCTCGGTACTTCATGACTGGAATCTCCAGAGGCAAAACATTCTATCTTCAAACTTCTTTGGGTGACTGGCAGGGTGAATGGTGGTCACAAGAAACTGAAGGCCGAGACCTCAATCAATTCCTTGGGTTTTTAAAGAAATAGTTATCTTGGAGGGAGAAATGATCTCATGAATGTTTTGAGACCCTTCTGTCTGTGCCCACGCCCCTCTACAACAAACAGATAAAGCAGCTGAATTTCTCTCTCCACCCCTCAGTCACGGCCTCACTCTGCTGCCTTCCATGCCCTAATAGAGATAGGTGACCAAATAATTTATCATCCAACCCAGGCAGCTTTGAAGAGCAAGAGGAGACAGTGCCCTTCCTCACTAAGCTGAGGCAACAGACATACACCACGACTGTCCCTGGAAAATGGGGATGAAGGGTTGCCTTCCCTAAGGAGGAAGTTCAAACTGGTTAGCACAGCACACGGGACCCCTCAAGGCCGGCCTCACTGCAGCCTCATCTCCGCACGGACCAGCCCTGCCCTCCACCCTCCAGGCCCCAGGTTTCTTTCCGCTCCTGCCCACTCTCTCGCCTCAGCACCTGTGCATGAGCTGTTCCCTTGTCCAGCCCACACTCCCACCCGATCCCTCCCAGCTGACTCCAACTCACTCCAGCTACCAGCTTGAACAGCACTTCTTCCAGGAAGCATTTCTCACGTCTGGGTTAGACGCTCCTCTTGGTGTATCCATGTCTGCCTGACTGCCCCTTATCACAGACTGGTTCCCTCTTTTGGAGTGCCGGCTCGATGTCTCAGGTCAGCACTGGACAGTAGCTCCATCGGCACGGAGGACGGGCCGTCTTGACCACCTTGTGTTCCCAGAGCCTGGTGCTGACCAGGTGCTGTTGAATGAATGAATCGCTTTTCCACAACTTGCACCCAAAAATGTTCATTCTCACCGAGGTGGGGTATTTTCAGGTGAGAGGTGACAAAACCCATCTAGCATAAGCTAAAGGGATAGTATTCTCATGATGGATTTTGAATGTCAGTAACCCGTTTGGAAATCACCCCCATGTAAGTGGTGGCAAATTCCACTTAAAATGCACCCTGGTCTGGTTGAAGGTCCTGGTGGAAAAATTGGCCCAGTATTTTCGACATGGATGCACCTGCTTGTGCTTGTCTTATCACGTATGAACTCTCTAGTCTCTGGGAATCCAAAGGGAATTAGCCTCACACTTGGAAAATTTTATTTTAAAATACTGACCTTTCGTTTCAAGAATAATAATGACATTTTGATGCTATTTATAGTTTGCCAACTGTTTTCATGTACATTAACTTATCTGTCCTCATAAAAACCCAGTGCAGGAAATGAGACAAACCATTTTGCAGATGAAGAGCCCAAAGCCCAGAAGGGTCAAGGGGTTTGTGCGAACCTCACAGCCGGCACGTGACAAAGTCTGGAAGCACATCTTGGTGGTCCTGCTCCAGACCCTGAGCGCCAGAGCTCTCTCCCCCATCTCCCCTTGTCACCACAAACAATGGAACCTGTGACCATTGTTCTTCCCAGCAACAAAGGGCTGCTGGCTAGGTACGGATGATGGCTTTTAGATAAAATATTGTTGATTGATTACTGTGATGGTTGTTTTTTTGTTTTGTTTTCTTTGTTTGTTTTTTGAGACAGAGTCTTGCTCTGTCGCCCAGGCTGGGGTGCAGTGGTGCCATCTTGGCTCACGGCAAGCTCCGCCTCCAGGGTTTACGCCATTCTCCTGCCTCAGCCTCCTGAGTAGCTGGGACTACAGGCGCCCACCACCAAGCCCGCCTAGTTTTTTGTATTTTTAATAGAAACGGTTTCACCGTGTTAGCCAGGATGGTCTCGATCTCCTGACCTCGTGATCTGCCTGCCTCAGCCTCCCAAAGTGCTGGGATTACAGGCGTGAGCCACCGCGCCCGGCTGTGATGGTTAGTTTTACACTTCAACTTGACTGGGCTCAGGGATGCCCAGAGAGCTGGTAAAACATGATTTTTGCATGTATCCATGAGGGTGTTTCCCGAAGAGATTAGCATTGAATCAGTAGACTGTCCAGATGCCTGTAATCCCAGCACTTTGGGAGGCTGAGGCAGGAGAATTACTTGAGGTCAGGAGTTTGAGACCAGCCTGGCCAACATGGTAAAACCCGGTCTCTACTAAAAATACAAAAATTAGCCGGATGTGGTGGCACACGCCTGTAGTCTCAGCTACTAGGGAGGCTAAGGCTGGAGAATCACTTGAACCCAGGAGGCGGAGGTTGCAGTGAGCCAAGATCACACCACTGCACTCCAGCCTGGGCAACAGAATGAGACTCTGTCTCAAAAAAAAAAAAAAAAAAAGAACCAGTAGAACTAGTAGAGTAGATCACTCTTACTAATGTGGGTGAAAGTCATCCAATCTTTGAGGCCCCCAATAGAACAAAAAGGCAGAGAAGGGGTGAATTCTCTCTCTCTCTCTCTCTCTCTCTCTCTCTCTCTCTCTCTCTCTCTCTCCCCTTGAGCTGGGACATCTATTTTCTCCTGCCCTCAGACATCAGACTTCTTGGTTCTCAGGCCTTCAGACTCAGACTGAATTACTGAATGATACCACCAGTTTTCCTGGCTGCCTAGTTTGCAGATGGCAGGTATGGGACTTCTCAGCTTCCATAATTACATGAGGCAATTTACATAGAAATCCTGGGTTTTTGTTTATTTGTTTCTTTCTTTTTTTTTTTTTTTTTCCAGAGATAGGGTCTGGCTATGTTGCCTGGGCTGGTCTGGAGCTCCTGAGCCTAAGTGATCCTCCTGCCTCAGCCTCCCAAATTGCTGGGATTACTGGCATGAGCCATCACACCCAGCCAGACATCTTTTATATATATCTTGTTTTTCTGCAGAACCCTGACTCACACAATCACCATGTTTTATTTTCCCAGCTAGATTATGACTCCTTAAGGATAGAGAACTTAGTCATTTCATATTTACTATTTTCCTATCTGTATCATAGTTTCACATTCTGCTAGAATGAAGCTTTAAGAGGACAAGGTCTTGCCTTGTGGGGGACTTTTCTCTTGTTCACAGCCACAGCCTCTGCCCTGATAAGCACATTATCCATATTTACAGAAGGAAATTACTTTTATGTCACAAGGAGAGGTGGCTGCTATAGAGCTTTGGGTATAGCAGATGTTCAATAAATGCTTAAGAATAACACAAAGGTAAGCACTGGCTCCTTCTCCAGGAGGGTGACTCTGAAGCAGATGTTCTGGGAAGAAGGTTGCCCACTGAGGCTGACGAAGGAGCCTAGACACTCAGGAGACAGCTGTGCCCTCATCTGTGCGCTCCTTGCACTGACAGAAAAGGCATTTATAAGAACAGACCTAAAACAAATGGCAGGAACACAAAGGAAGCAAAGCCCAGGGCCCAGGCGTGGAAGCCTCTAAGATGCCACCTCCCCAGGCAGAACCCTTCATTTCACACCAAGATCCCAGCTCCAGATCCTCCTCTGCTGTGGGATGGGGAGTAGGTGCTGCTCCATCCAGCTGTCCAGAGCTGGGTGTGGGAGAGCAAGCCGAGGCTGTTAATCAGGTTTTAGGACCCAGGGTAGAACCAGCGGCCTGAGCACACCTAGTGAGTCTGAAGCAAGCCCACCTTGGCATGTGAAGGCATGAGCGCGTAATTTATGCCAGGCCTGTTGTTGGCTAAATTACCTGAGACATGTCCCTTCCCCTCTGTAAGTTTCCATACCCTAAGGTCATATCAGGAGAAGATATTGAGCTGGAGGTATGTGCATGGGCAAATTTTTGTTTATGGATCAGATGGTTCTTCTTTCTCTCCTCTTACCCCACATAAACTATAGGGAGAGTGAGAAATTAGTTTTCTCCCTATAGTCTATGTGGGGTAAGAGGAGAGAAAGAAGAACCATCTGATCCATAAACACTCACGCCTGAAATGCCTTTCTATAGCAAAAGCATCCACAGCACCTTCTTTGGGGTGCTACTCTTAAATAATAAACCCTGGGCCTAGGACAAGGGTGAGCGTGGGTCTGGTGCAGCCAGCAAGCCTCCCTCCATGACCTGGGATCATCTGTTTGCAGGGAAGGAAGTCTTGGCCCCACATCGGGGAAGCGGCCAGCTCACTCAAGTAGCTCTGAGCCTGGGCCAGTTGCTAGGAATCTCAAATTTCCTCTGCTTTCATAGGTGACTAACATGGTTTGGTTAAGTCTCCACCTAAATCTCATCTTGAATTGTAGTTCCCATAATACCCACATGTCATGGGAGGGACCCAGTGGGAGGTAATTGAATCATGGGGACGGTTTCCCCCATGCTATTCTCATGACACTGAGTAAGTTCTCACGAGATCTGATGGTTTATAAGGGGCTTCCCCCTTTGCTGGGCTCTCATTCTTCTCTCTCCTGCTGCCATGTGGAGAAGGATGTGTTTGCTTCCCTTTTTGCCATGACTATAAGTTTGCTGAGGCCTCCCCAGCCACGTGGAACTGTGAGTCAATTAAACCTCTTTATAAATTACCCAGTCTTGGTTATTTCTTTATAGCAGCATGAGAACGAACTAACACAGTGATTCGTGGCCAAATTCGTCATTTGGACCAGAGATGTGGGGGCTGAAGTAGACCTTGGAGATCACTCAAGGTCAGGAGTTGGTGAGTTAGGACCCAGGGTGGACCCAGGGTCCTGAGCACACCTAGTGAGGGTGGCACCTGCTAGAAATCAGTGGCATGGCTGCAGGAGGAAAGCAGGCTTTCCAAGGGTGAGGCCTAGGGCCAGGGAGGAAGGAAAAGGTGGGCTGGATGTGAAGTTCCAGGAAAGGACCCCATTCGTCCTTCCCCTTCTGCCCTGACTCCATGCTGGAGATTCGGGCTCCATTCACACAACACCTAAAGTCGAACAGACCTTAAGTAGCATCTAACCCTACACTTTCTTTTATAAAAAGTGGAAAGTGAGGTCCCCTGATGTTAAGTGACTTGTCCAAGTCCTAGCTGTTGGCCAGAGGGAGAGCTGTGAGGAGAACTGGCTTACCAGGCCTGTCTCAGGGCCCTTCCCCTTCCCTACTCTGGCCTGTCAGGAAACCAGGCACCCAATGTCCAGTGCCACATGGAGCTGGGGGACATCCAGGCCCAGAGGACATGGAGAAGCATGGCAGAGGGGATCAGTTGAGGTCACAGGCACAAACTTCAGCATCTTGAAGGATGACAAAAGATTGTGGAAAGAGACTGGGAATGGGCAAAGACGGGCAACCTCCGAGAGTTGGTTTCACATCAGGGACAACACAAATAATTTGTTCAAGGCCCTGGGATAGTCCTCATCATATGTAGTGTGAATATTTGCTTATGCAGATGTTTCTCTCTCTAGCCTGTCAGTTCCTTGAGGGCAGGAACTGTATTATTTATCTTTAGATTTATGCCACAATCCCTGACTCAGTAAATGTTTGGTACAGGAATGAATGAATACATGAATGAATGAATGAATATCAGCAAGGCTTATGGGACAGGACCTCTAAGGTTCTATCCCCAGCTCTGCCACTTACCAGCTATAAACCTAGGACGAAGAACTGCAAACTGGGAGGAATGACAGTACTCGCTTCACAGGGCCATGTGAAGATTAAGTGGGATCAGGCATCTGAATTGCTCAATAAATATTAGCTGTCTGTATGACTATTTTCAGGAAGAAGAGCCAAGGTGAAGTGAAGTTAGATGAGCCTGGAAAATGGGCCACAAGGCAGTGAGAAGCTTAGACTCAGATACGTTATCTCAGTTTCCCTCATCACCCCCACTTTCCTCTCCCTCGCCACCATAATTTCTGGAATCCACTCAGTGTCCTATACTTGAAGATCGATGCAAACTTGCCTATATCCTGTCTATGCTGCCATAGAAATCCTTGCTTTAGAGGATGACATAGGCAATAAGCATCCCTGCTTTTTTCTTTTTTTTCTTTTTTAAGAGACAAAGTCTGGCTCTGTCACCTAGGCTACAATGCAGTGGTGTGATGATAGCTCTCTGCAGCCTGGACTTCCTGTACTCAAGTGATCCTCCCACCTCAGCCTCCTGAGTAGCTGGGACCACAGGCTTGTGACACCATGCCTGGTTATTTTATTTTATTTTATTTTTTTAAAAAGAGAGTCTCGCTATGTTGCCCAGGCTGGTCTCAAACTCCTGGCCTCAGGTTATCCTCCCATTTCAGCCTCTGGAGTAGCTAGGATTACAGGTTTAAGTCACCGCACCCAGCTCCCTGCTTTTCTTGATTCTGTAATGGGGCCATTTCCAAATCCATGGCACCCAGGAGGAGCAGGTCATCTGGGCCTTGGCCTTCCTGACTCTCAAATCACACAATTTGGATGGGCAGCCACGCCATGCCCCCACTCCTAAGGACCATCTTGAGCAGGGTGATAGGACAGGCCATAGGCCAGTGAAGGTCAGTCTCCCACTCCTGACCACCTCTCCTCCTAAGCCCGACAAGGTGAGAGAAGGTACTATGGAGGCAGTATGGGAGGGACTACCCCAGCAGACAGTGGATGCCCCAGACTCAGTGTCAGCCCTCCCAGGCCAGCATCAACTCTGGGTGGAGGAGAATGAACGCTTGATGAACACCTTTCATTTGACAAGAACTGTGCTAGGCATTTTGTGGAAAGTGAGGCTAAAATGTGGCCTAATATCTGTGGCCCCTCTTGGTCATTTTCCTTCCCCCCAACCTTTTGGCTTGCTTGGCAAGCTGTAAATCTTCTTCCCAGACTGGCCACCCTCCTGCAGGAGCCAAGTGGCTGGTCCAAGCAGCGGTAGTAGGAGATCTTGGTTCTGGCCCAGAAGGTGTCCTCGGGGCCTTTTTATTTATTTATTTAATTTTTTTTGAGAAGGAGTCTTGCTTTGTTGCCCAGGCTGAAGTGCAGTAGCATGATCTCAGCTCACTGCAAACTTCACCTCCTGGTTCAAGCGATTCTCCTGTCTGAGCCTCCCAGGTAGCTGGGATTATAGGCGTCCACCACCACACCCGGCTAATTTTTGTATTTTTAGTAGGGACAGGGGTTCAGCATGTTTGCCAGGCTGGTCTCGAACTCCTGACCTCAGGCGATCCACACACCTTGGCCTCCCAAAGTGCTGGCATTACAGTCATGAGCCACTAACTCCGGCCATCAGGGCCTTTTTAAAATCCGTAGTTGAAGAATCTTCCTGGTCTCTGTTAGCCTCAGAATCAGCAGCTCCCTTCTGGCCATGGTCTGACTCCTGCCTCTCCTGTTCTGCTGCAGCCTGGTTTTCCAGGCTGCCCTGGTTCTAGGTCCTAGAGCTCTGTGTTTGGTTGTGACTTCAGCCTGAGCCTGAGCCTCTGTCCCCAGCTTCCTGGTCCCAGGAGGCCAACACCATCACTCTGAGTCCTCCTTGGCTTCAGTCCACAGCCAGACCCCACCTCCACAATCTTATCTTCTGGGTCTGAGTCCTGCTTTCACTCCTGCCCACCATAGTATTCACATCCCTGTGCCAAGCTCTGTGCTGTTTTTTTGTTTCTTTTTTTGAGACAGGGTCTGGCTCTGTCGCCCAGGCTGGAGTGTAGTGGCGCGATCTCAGCTCACTCACAACTTCTGCCTCCTAGGCTCAAGCAATCTTCCTACCTCAGCCTCCCAAGTAGCTGGAACTACAGGAATGCACCACCATGCCTGGCTAATTTTTGTGTTTTTCTGTAGAGACAGGGTTTCACCATGTTGCCCAGGCTGGTCTCAAACTCTTGGCCTTAAGTGATCCACCTGCCTCAGCCTCCGAAAGTGCTGGGATTACAGTCATGAACCACCACACACAGCTGCAAGCTCTATTGTCTACTACCCTTCCCAGGATGACCAACTACATTCTGAAATGTCCTTTGAAATAACTGACCACAGTATTTCTACCTTGGTGACCTAGAGATGATCATGAAAATTTGAGGCACCTAAGGGCTGAGTGAAACAATATGGACACCATACAGAAAACTTATGTGCAGATTCAAAAGGAATTGTTATCAGCAGCTTATATTTAGAGGGAGACACAACCCTGAAAATGGCTCAAAGTTGCTGATAATAGAGATACAGAGGCATTTCAATTCCTTATCCACCCAACACATAATGACTGAGTGTCTTGTTCCAAATAGGCCACGCCCTGCAGGGAGCAGCCTCAAACTCCTAGGCTCAAGGGATCCTCCTACCTCAGCCTCCCACGTAGCTAGGACTACAGGCACATGCCACCACGCCCAGCTAGTTTTTAAATTTTTTGTACACAGGGAGTCTCGCTCTGTTTCCCACGCTGGTCTAAAACTCCTGGGCTCAAGTGATCCTCCTGCATTGGCCTCTCAAAATACTGGGATTACAGACATAAGCCACTGCACCAAGCACCTCAGCCCCCTTTTTAAAAAATGTGAGTTCTATCACAATAAAAATTGGCTTAAAAAGAAAAAGAAGTGTATCTTGCTTAAGTCTTGCTTGCTTGCTGCTCCGGGTTGGCAGGGTGAGCTCTCATGAGGGGCGGGAGGGGATGCAGGAGCCTGTGAACATCAGCTCTGGTGGGCTGGCTGGGGCGAGTAAAGGCAAAGATGGGCAGGCCCCAGAGCAAGGACCTGGGGTGCAGGTGGGGGCAGTAAAATTAGCCACAGCCGAGCAGAACAGAAAGCAGGCAGAAAGTCACAGCTGTTGAGTAGCAAGTGGCTGCTGCAAAGAGCACAGGAAAATGAGAGGGAGGAGGGGGCGTGGCAGGGCAGCGGGTGGTGAGGGGAGCCCTCCTGCCTAGGAGCTCCACAGAGGGGATCACACCTCACAGTACACCCACATGGAGGCAGTGGTTTCACTTTCTGGATGTTGTATCCAAAATGCTGCCCAGGTTCCTCTAAGAGGGACACCAAGGTCCCTCTGAACTGGATATACGTAACAAGGACAAGGGGCCAAGGGAAAGCATGATTGTCACCCAGGGTGGCCCCTCTCTGGCCCAGCCCATGCAGGCCTGCTTGCTTGCTTTCACTGGGTTCCTGGAAGCCTCTGGTGGGTCAAGTGTCAGGTATACCCTAGAAATGCTATGTGGGTCATTTGGGAGGGCAGCTGGTAATGGGGTGTCTTCATTTTCTCCCCATAGAAAGGGCCTACACTGGAGGATGTCATCCTAATAGCTAAGCTAGTTAGTCCAATTTTTAAAAAAGTAAAATGATGGCAGCCTCACACTCCTTTTTGTTGCCAAGTGTCCTAATTGTTGCAGAGGAACCAACGTGCCCTTCTTCAGTTAATACACAGACATCTTTTTTCCCCTGAAATGGAGTTTAATAATCCAAACTTGTTAACTTTTCTGCCAGGCTCTGTCCCTGCAGGGAACAGTGGAGCAGGTGGCAGCAGCCTGGTGAAATGTATATTTGGATTGTCCTTTTTTAACATATATTTACTAGCAAGTTGCTTGGCCTTTCTGTGTCTCAGTTTCTGTAAAACTAGGGCACTGGGCTAGATCGCATCCCAGATGGTCCCTCAACATCCTTCTGGCTCTGACTATAATCTCAACTCTAGTCATTTTGACATTTAGTACAGTGAATGCTGCAGCAACGTGCTGGTGATCTGGTGATCACATTGGCTGGTCAATCATGTAGTCATTAGGCACCAACTGTGTGCAGTTCAACATATTAGAGACTTCTTCTTCTTTTTTTTTTTTTAATTAGAGACGGAGTCTCGCTCTGTCACCCAGGCTGGAGTGCAGTGGCGCCATCTCGGCTCACTGCAACCTCTGCCTCCAGGGTTCAATAGATTCTCCTGCCTCAGCCTCCTGAGTAGCTGGGATTACAGGCACACACCACCACGCCCGGCTAATTTTTGTGTTTTTGGTAGAGACAAGGTTTCTTGAACTCCTGACCTCAGGTGATCTGCCTGCCTGGGCCTCCCAAAGTGCTGGGATTACAGTCGTGGGCCACCACACCCCGCCCTAGAGACTTCTTGAAGAGAAACAGCAATAGCATGGTTTCTTCCCTTGAGGGCCTTAAGAGAGAACATTCTTGGGAAAATATATGAGAATAGTTATAAGAAAGAAAAATACGGATTAATGAATATATATTAAATCTCTTTGACAAGAAAGATCTCTGCCACTTCACATGAATGTGAGGAATCCTATTATTATTAAGGAGATTAGGACTGTGAAATTAGGTCACTGTATAATTATGTTTGACATTTCAGCACATAAGCTGTTGGGCTACTTTGCATATGATATAGCAACACTCGGCCCAGATAGGGCCTTGATACAGCCAGGTATTATTTTTCACTCTGTTATCTTTAAAACAATTTTTAGGTAAGTTCTTTTTTAATACAGCCTCCCATGATAACATTAAAAAGCAAGTTTTAGAGAAATGAAGACCTACCTATGACTGTCGTGTTGGTCACCAACACATAGCTGTCCTGAATCAAGCCACAGGTTGATCTTACTGGAAAGCTTGGTTGGACTCCTCCCCTGTAAATCACCCACCTGCTGCCCTGAGAGGCTCATAGGCTCAGGGCTTTGCCAACTCTTCCTAGGGTTAGAGCCTCATGGCCTCAGCCTCCAGGGACAGTGAGTCCCAAACCAAGAAGACCATTACCATGTCTGCTCTTAGTGAGCTGGGTAGGGGAGCCCTTGATTGACTTGTCCAAGTTACCTATTCGCAACAGCTGCTTCCAAGGACAGGCCTCAGCCAAGGAAAGTGGAAGGGCACACAGGAGCATGACACCATAGGGACCTATTTTCAGTCATGTTTCCTTACCCTCTACTTTTCTATTTTCTTCTTTGAATGACCTCAGTCCAAGCAACCACTACTTTTACAACCACATCTGGTACAAAACATGCAGTTACAATAATCTCAGCTTTCACCAGAAACAACTATCACATGGGTTGGTGCAGAAATAAAAAAACTATTTAAAGATCAGTACATGGCAAGGACATATGTCAGCACCCACCAGAAACTGTATATTCAATTGATTTGTTACTCATTTCAAATTTCTTTTCCATCATTTTCTCCTTACAAAAATGCCATGAAAACAGGCAAGGTGCAGTGGGTCATGCCTGTAATCCCAGCACTTTGGGAGGCTGAGACTGGTGGATCACCTGAGGTCAGGAGTTCAAGACCAGCCTGGACAACATGGTGAAACCCTGTCTCTACTAAAAATACAAAAATTAGCTGTGTGTGGTGGTGGGTTCCTGTGGTCCCAGCTGCATGGGAGGCTGAGGCAGGAAAATTGCTTGAACCTGGGAGGCGGAGGTTGCGGTGAACTGAGATCGCGCCACTGCACTCCAGCCTGGGCGACAGAGCAAGACTCCATCTCAAAAAACAAAACAAACAAAACAAAACAAAACAAACAAACACAATGCCATGAAAACAGTTACTTCACTAAAGAAATGAAATATAAATTATATTCATTTAAAATTATGACTTGACTTTGTTTTCATTTCTTTTTTTTTTCTCTTTTTTTTTTTTGAGACGAAGTCTCACTCTTTCGCCCAGGCTGGAGTGCAGTGGCGCGATCTCAGCTCACTGCAAGCTCCGCCTCCCGGGTTCACGCCATTCTCCTGCCTCAGCCTCCTGAGTAGCTGGGACTACAGGCGCCTGCCACCACGCCCGGCTAATTTTTTATGTATCTTTAGTAGAGACGGGGTTTCACCGTGTTAGCCAGGATGGTCTCGATCTCCTGACCTCATGATCCACCCGTCTCAGCCTCCCAAAGTGCTGGGATTACAGGTGTGAGCCACCGCGCCTGGCCTGTTTTCATTTCTTACTTGATTTCTCATCATGCTCAGCCCTTAAAATGTAAACTTTCTCACCACATGTACTGTTTTCCTTTCTAGTAAATTTTTTTCAAGTTTCAGAAAAATAAGAGGGGCTAATTATTTTTTAAAGAATTGAACAGAAATAGGGTTAATTTTTCTCTTCAGATTGAGAATTGCTATATTTTCTTTTAAGGTCTTAAAAATAGGCCAGGCATGGTGGCTCATGCCTTTAATTCCAGCACTTTGGGAGGCTGAGATGGAAGGATTGCTTGAAGCCAGGAATTTGAAACCAACCTGGGCAACAAAGTGAGACCCTATTTCTACCAAAAAAAAAAAAAAAAAAAGTGTATACTCACTGTGAGAAAAATACACCCATACACACACACACACACACACACACATACACACACACACAGCCTACAGCCTCTCTATGCTGGTGGCACATCACAGTCACACAGGAGTTTACAAAAACCCTGAAACCTGGGTCCCATCTCCACAGATTCTGATTTCATTGACCTGGGCGGCTACCTGGGCAGCAATATTGACTTAAAAGCTGCCTAGGTGATGTAATCATACAGCCAGGGCTGAGAACCACTGATCTATAGAAAGGCATGAAGAGGAGAGTGAACATCACCTACACACCCATTCCCTGGAGATAACTGCTTTTGATTTTTAGTGCAATTAGCCAGAGGAGTCGTAAATGTGGGCTGTGGGGACCAGGTCAAGGAGTGAGGATACTTATAATCCATCTCTGGCAGGGAGCACTAACTTAGGTCCACCAGGTTTCCAGTACCAGAGGAGATCATCATCCCTTTGTCCTCCTTCAGAAATCAGGTTCCTATGGTTGTATGAGACTACCTGTCCCTACCTCCCAGGAGCCCAGAGAGGCCAAAAAAAAAAGCAAACACCCAGGCAGCATTTAAGGTCTGTAAGACAAGACTCCAGGAAAACCAAAGCAGAGGGTGTGAAAGTGGTTGTGGATACAGAACCGTGGGAAATCCCACAGTGACTCCAGGTCAACAGTGCATTTGCCTCAGCTCACCCAACTACCAACAAAGAATGCTTAGTTAGCTAAACAACTTCTCCTGAGGGGTGAATACCGGTTGTATTAAGCAGGATGGGAATTGGAAACACAGTGGTATAATAAATGGAAGAGAAGGACTAAACCATCGGAGGAAAAAGAAGGTGTGAGGATTTCAGGATGGACTCAGGCATGGAAGAAGGCAAGACATCCTTGTGCCCCTGAATCCCTCACATTGGCAGGAGTTAGCCATCTACTCAAAAAGATGGATCCCTGCAGCTTTTTCACTAAGCAGCATGGTCAGGGTTCACTGGAGTAGTGCTGATGACCTAGAGCCTCAGCCAAAGGGGGAGAAATAACTTGAGTCACTTAACACAGTCATTCACCGCACAACCAACCTTATATAATACAAATCTCCTCTAGATGCCTTTATTCTTTCTCCTATAGCCCCTTGTCAATTCCCATTTTTGTCCCCAGAAATTCACCTCTGGTCCTCAGCTTGTGCCCAGATTGAACCATGCAGTTGGCCAGCCCACCCATCTTTGAAAGCAGGTCAGTGATGACACGTTTTAATCAAGCACACTTTGAAGTCTCACACCTACACACATACCCAGATTTTCACACAAAGCATGTTTCTTTCTAGGCAGGATGTGGCAGATATTGTTGCTGCCTGTTTGGCCATCATTCCCCAGACTTCCTGGCCAAAAGAAAAGTCCCCAGGTGCCAGCAATGAATCATAATTGATTTAACTCAGTCCGTCCCCTTAAGGAGCCTTTTTAGATATGTTTTCCTGATTGCTTCCTCCCATGAAAATTTAATACTTCAGATACACTGTATGTTTATGTACTTTATGCATATCTGTACTTTATACATAAAAAATGTGATTTTTTTTTGAAATGGAGTTTCACTCGCGTCCCCCAAGCTGGAGTGCAGTGACATGATCTTGGCTCACTGCAACCTCCACCTCCTAGGCTCAAGAAATTCTCCTGCCTCAGCCTCCCTAGAAGCTGGGATTACAGCTGCGTGCCACCATGCCTGGCTAATTTTTGTATTTTTAGTAGAGACATGGTTTCACCATGTTGGCCAGGCTGATCTTGAACTCCTGACCTCAGGTGATCTGCCTGCCTCAGCCTCCCAAAGGGCTGGGATTACAGGTGTGGGCCACCATACTTGGCACAGTATGATTTTTTTTTTTGCCCCCAAGAACCAATTTTCACCCCCTTGAGGGTGACATCACCCTCATTAAGAATACATGATCTACATCAACAAAGCAATTGCTTTTGCCAGTGATTGGTCTAAGGTTGGCGTCTGGTCCCATTCTGGCCAATGAAACATGAAGGAATTCTGCTTGGGAAAGATATTCCTTCTGATCAAAGAGAGATGTGAAGGGAAGTGACCTTTGACCCCTGCCTACTTCTGCTCATGGTGTCTCATGTGACGAGTTGGTGCTTGGAACTGTGGCCACCATCTTGTTCCCATAAGGGTAGAAGAGAGAAAGGACAGAAGCAGTCCATACCCTGCTGAAATCAATGAGCCACTAAACAATTGTAACCAATGCTTGCTTCCAGACTTGTTAAGCATGATAGTAAATGTCAGTATGCCGTAACCCATTACCAGTAGTAAGATATTATGGGCCTTGCAGCCTGAAACTTCCTGATGGATAGATAGGATTTTCATTAATAAGGAATGTGGTCCAAGCATCCCAGAAGACCTGCACCAAGGAAGCTGTGCTGAAAAGTCAGCCACCACCGCTGCTCACAGACCTCCAATGTCCCACAGTGAAGTGCCAGAATTTGAACACTCATTTCTTGTAAAATAAATGAGGATAGCTGTTTCAAGCTGTTTTCAAGTTCAGAGTGTTTTTCTGAGAGTAATTTCCCCAAAATAAAAGTGCTTTTGTTCTTGCTCTCTGAGTGTCTTACCCAGTGAATCTGGGCCCTGGGCCTGCACACTCACTCAGCAGACCCTGTCCTCAACTCTCCTAACCCCGAGTCTCTCAGCCCATATGGTGTCCACCCCTCACCCCAGGACCCCTTTCTCTTCCCTATTTCCACTGTGAATGTTCTGGTGTAGAGAGGTTGAGGTACGATGAAAGGCCACACCACATGTCCTGCCACTGATCCTGTCATGGTCTTCCATAACAAGCCCTGCCCCAGCCATGAACTTATGGAGCAGATATTCAGAGCCCACAGAACAGGAAAAGCAGAGGCGAGGTAGGGAGTGAGCATCCAGGCCCAGATGTATCGATAGAACAAGAAGAGTGGGGGACCCAGAGGGGTGAATACAGGGAGGTAGGGGTCCAGGCCAGCCCCTCATTTCACAGACTTGGACATTGAGGCTCAGAGAGGTCAACGATTACTCAGGTAACAGAGCAAGATGTCAGGGGTCCCAGGAGCAGAGCCCTGTCTCCCAGCCTAGTGTCCTTTCCACAGCAACTACGGTCCATTTGGTCCTCATCCTGTGCTATGCTGGGATGTCCTGAACCGTCATTTACATCTGCTGTCATTTCACTATTCACCTGTTTATAGCTTATCTCCGCAAGCACATTGCAAATTTCTCAAAAGCTGGGATCTTGAGGCACCCGCCTTGTGATCCCTCATAGCACACATAGCCTTCTAGGCACCAACAGTTAGTCAACTTGATTTCTAAGCAGCCAACACGGAGAAAAGGCCAGAGGTGATGTCATGGGCTGGTGAAATGTTTGAGGAACACTTGCACTTCCTTCTGGAAAGGCTACTCCTAGTCATACCGGATCTGTATGTGAGAATAACAGTAATACCCCCAGAACCTGAATCCTCAACTTCTCATCTGATTGGAAATGATACTCTGTATTTATATAAATATTAGAATCACATAATCCCAGGGCTTGAGGGTTCAAAGATACTCCCTTGAATGTAAGCCAAGAACCCAGTGCCACTCCTTTTACCACTCTCGTCCCCACCATCAGAATCTCTCTCCTAAGCAGTTCTTGCTCTGGCTTTCTGTCTGCAGTGGCTGCGGGGATGGGTATATCTAGCACAACAAGACAGGCCATGAGGATGGGACAGCACTAAGGGACACCATTTTATTTATTTATTTATTTTTGGAGACGGAGTTTCGCTCTGTCACCCAGGCTGGAGTGCAATGGCACAATCTTGGCTCACCACAACCTCCACCTCCCGAGTTCAAGTGATTCTCCTGCCTCAGCCTCCCGAGTAGCTGGGACTACAGGCGTGCACCAGCATGCCTGGCTAATTTTGCATTTTTAATAGAGATGGGGTTTCACCATGTTGGTCAGGCTGGTTTCTAACTACTGACCTCAGGTAATTTGGCCACCTCAGCCTCCCAAAGTGCTGGGATTACAGGCGTGAGCCACCGTGCCCAGCCAAGGGACACATTTTTAAACAATGCAAATATAGATTATTTTTTGTGCGAGGGTTTGGTGGGCTGACAGGAGAGGAGGCTGAGCGACCCAAGCTGTGTTCCTGCGGAAAGGACACTGGAGCCATGTTCCCATGAAGTGGGAAGTGACGAGAAAGTTTCTTCTATTTCATTTTCGCATCTTAAAATTATGTGATTGGATAAAGAAACCTTGAGGTCTCTCTCCTCGTTCTTTTATGCGAAGACTCTCTAAATTCAGGGAAGGAATGAAGAGCAATGATAAACATGAACGCAAGCCCTGCATTATGTGTTCTGCACGTTTCATCTCACAGCAACACTAAGATGTAGGTAATGTTTGCAATCCCTATTTCACACCTGAGGAAGCTGAGACCCAGAGGAATAAAGCACTCAAAGTTATACATCTAGTCAGTGATGAGGGCAGGATTTGAACCCAGGCAGTCTAGATGCATTTTGGAGGAGGGTAGTACTGGCATCCCAGCCTCCATGGAGAAGCGAGGCTGCTGTTCCAGTCAGCGGTCCTCCAGGGACAGGAGGCCTGGCTCCTGGGTTCCCAAGACTCAAGCACCAGCAGCAGCAGAAAGAGGTGGGGAGAAGAGGAGGAGGAGGAGGAGGCTGGCTACCCCTCTGTTTAGGGCACACACATACCTTGCCGATTAGCAACGATGGGAAAGGAAACACACAGTGAGGGCCCTTGACAGCTTAATGGGATTTTAGAAAAATACACATCCATATTTTTAAACTTTTTTTTCCATTCGAACATTTTTAGCTTCCAGCTCTGAACTGAAATAGCAACTGTCTTAGATAATTCTTCATCCTTAGGCTCCCACATTTGGAAAAGGTCTCAGCCTAGCCGGGGGAAAAGAGAGACAGAGAGAGGATATACAAGCTTAGCACATAGATAATACATCTGGCACATAGATAACAGATGCTGAATGGATGGATAAATGGATGGATGGATGGATGGATGGATGGACGGATAAATGGATGGATGGACGGATGGATGGATGGATGGATGCATGGATGGATAAATGGATGGATGGATGGATGGATGGATGGTTGGATGGATGGATGGATGGATAAATGGATGGATGGATGGATGCATGGATGGATAAATGGATGCATGAGTGAATGGGTAGATAGGCAAGAGAAGGAATATGGTGGGAAAGAAAGAAAACATGTTCACCCATGAAATTCTCCTGAGAATTATACACCCTTCTGGAAAGATATACTTACACTTTTCGCCACTAACCAAACCCAGAGTCATAGTTAATGGACTGACAGCCTTCCTGTAGCTTCCAGGGCCTGGCTTTCTAGAAGTGGTTTTAGCCAAACCTGTAGCAATGTGGCACTGACAATTCAGTTCCCATCTACCAGCCCCATTTCCAGTTGCTTCTTGTGTCTTCTGTCTACTCTGGACCACTCACATTTCCTCTATGCATACTGTGGCAGAACCCATGGCTTGACTTGATGAACACTCATTCCAGTCCCCTTCCATATTACCTTCCTCTGCTGCAAAGGGTGAAAAGAGAAATACCCCAATTCCCACTCTCCCCTGCAGGTAAGGTACCAAGTGACATCACTCTGATGGGTTTGAGGCAGGCAGAAGTCCAAGAGACAGGCTTCCCACCAAAATAAATGGGCAAAACTTTGTCCATCATTTCCCCCTTCTTCCTGCCTGGAACTCTGACATAATGTTTGCAGGTGCAGCAACCATCATGTGATGAAGACAACAAAAGCCTTGATCCAAGATGTCAGAGCAAGAGGATACAAAGAGTCTCCCAGCCCTGGGCTCTTTCCTTCTGGTCTCCCAGTTAAATGAGAAAGATGAGCCCCTTACTTATTTAAGCCACTAGGTTAGAGTTTTCTGCTACTACCTGCTAAATACAATCTTAACTGATACACAGGTGTGAACAAGAGTTCTCTGAAAAGGAATTTGGAGGAAAGAGACTTCATTCCAGTGAACAGGTGGCAAACCTGAGAGATGCAGCAGCCCATGTAAGACCAAGGTACATTCCAGAGAACAAAGGAAGGGTTCCGGTTTCACAGCAAATTTCCCACCCAGGTTCCCAATCAGGTCCGTTTATACAAATGAAGGACTGACACTCGCTTAGTTCTGACTGGTCAGTACGACTGAATTTTAATTGTTCCATACAGCTAAACCCCGATTGATCAAGGCAGGTGGGCTCTGATTGATTGGTTCAGGTGAGATTTGTCAGTCCCCACATCGAACAGAGGTATGGGTTTTGGGGAAACTCCGAGTATGTGTGTGACCTCTAGTTATCCAGTAGCCATTTTGCTCTGTTTGAATTTAGGCCCAGTTAGCCATTGGGGATCCATCTTGAAATATTGGCTCTTTCAGGTTCACATTTGTTCACAAAGTCATGCATTTTAGGGCTTCATACCTTTGTCTGTGTGACTCCCCCTGCCTGAAATGCCATTCCCTGCCTTTCCTCACTAAAGTGCAGACACTAAACACATATTTTAAATGTAGAATTAAATTGGAAGTGCTGTGAAGTAGAACTGAGCAATACTTTCTTTTAAATGCAACTCCCCCCAACCCTACCCAGAATCTTTAATTTCTTCCTATCTTGGGAGTGCCATCCACTTTGTCTAAAGAAATGCTCCCGTCACCCCAATCTTGAACAAATTTTGGTTTGCGCTTGCTTCCTCTTTGAACTATCAATTTTCTCTACCCTTACACTCTCAGAAACTGTACTCGGTTTTTCTCCTAAAGGGAATATGGTGAAAGGTCAGGGGAGTCACACAAGCTGGGATCAAATCTGACCTCCACTACCTCCATGGGTAGCATGAGAATAATCATTTCCATTTCACAGAGTTGTAGGGAGAATTAAGCTTGGTAATGCATTTGAAGTGCATGACACAGTGTGGAACTTAAATGCTAGTCCCCTCAGCCTTCTAATGGCTTTTGTTTCCTTCCTTCTTTCCTCCCTTCCTTCCTTCCTTTTTTCTTCTTTTTTTCTTTCAGCACCATTTATTAAGTGCATTCTAGGCACTGGGCTAGTTCAAGAGATTCCAAGTTGAATGAAGCATGACTCATTCCCCCGCTTCTTTCCCTCCTCAATGTGATCTCAAGGTTTAATCCTCACTCACATTTTGTGCTTTCAGTGCTTTGTTTCTCAAAGATCTCATCCACTTTCACAGCTTCAAGCTCCAACTCCTAGTGAATCAATCCCTCCCGAACTTGAAAAACTAGGGCTGACTTTTCTCTTAGATGTCATGCCCCATTCCCAACTCCCCGGATACCTCTGTCCCTGGAGGTCCTGCAGTCAGCTGTACTCTTTCTTTCAAAGCAAGAAAACACTTGTTAAATATATTTATTTGTCCAAAATCCCTGAGGGGTAGTGGGGAACAGGCATAATACATATTCACCACCCTTATCAAATAATAAGGCTATTAAGTCACAAGATACTCTTTTTTTTGAGACACTCTTATTGCCCAGGCTGGAGTGCAATGATGCCATCTCAGCTCACTGCAACCTCTGTCTCCTGGGTTCAAGCAATTCTTCTGCCTCAGCCTCCCGAGGAGCTGGGATTATAGGTGCCTGCCACCACGCCCAGCTAATTTTTTGTATTTTTAGTAGAGACAGGGTTTCACTGTGTTGGCCAGGCTGGTCTCGAACTCCTGACCTCAGGCAATCCCCTCGCCTCAGCCTCCCAAAGTGCTGGGATTACAGGCGTGAGCGACCGCACCCAGCCCGATACTCTCTCTTTCTTAAAACTGACCTAAAGTTGATAAGATATTTGGTTGTAATGCTGTGAATGAACCAGTGCAATGGAGTCTCTTGTCAATATTGAAAACCTTGGCTCCCAGGGAGAAGGAAGACAGAAAATAGGTACAGCTGAGCCCACATTGACAACCTTAGCAGCCTGTGTGGGGAATTCTGGGCTGCAGACTTCTGAGAGTGTTTTTCTTATGCAGAGGGACCACATTTGTCCCTTCCCCTGGGGATGAGCCTTAGGCCTTGGCTTTGCCCAAAAGCCCCTCCCCTGCATCTCCACTTGGATATTCCCTGAATGCTTAGTTAGCTCCAATCAGTCCCAGTTCTCTGCAGCCATAACCCTGGGGGCCCCACCAAGCACAAAATGGGGGCTTTCTGCAAAAAGCCACCACCCATCCCCTGGCCCTTCTCTCTTCTCAGAGCACTGCCATGCCACCAGTCGGGCCCTTTGCTCAGCTCTCCAGCTGACCCACAGCAAAAGGGCAGAAGGCAGAGGGCAGAGGGCAGAAAATAACTCATGAGAACCAAAAACAAAACCCCATTGGAACCACAAATGGAAATGGCTTGGGGAAAAAGGGTCCTGGGATGCTTGGGCTATTAATAAAGAGTGTGTGCCTCAGCCCTCTTCTCCCAGGGCACAGGCCTGACCAGCTCATGGCTGGGGACGTTTATTCTTGGGAAGTCCCCAGCTTGCCAGATAAAATGTGCCCTAGAACCCATTCACTCCGGAAGCCCCCCCCCCAACACACACACACACACACACACACACCTGCACACACAATTTTTGCCTATCGAGTCTTCTAGGTGCTGCCTTACCTTTAATCCCTGTAAGGGAATAAGTAAGAACAAATGGTAGTTGAGGTCCAAGTGTTCCTGGTTATGAGGGGTTCAGACTCCTAAGACCTGGTCTTAGCCTCACTTGGTTGGAAGTAACGATGTCTTTGTACTTACCCTCTACAATCCTGGGAAGATGGAACCACCAGGACTTGTTCTCTACACCGGTCAGGGACAGACAGACACATAAACTTGCCCCAGATTGATAGGGAAAATTCCCTAGAGCTTTCATCTCCTAAAGTTGTCTGCCTTCTTCAGCTTGAGTAATTTTGGTAGCCAATGGATTTGTAATTTCCATGCCTTACTCGCATTTCCTACCACTTTTCCCTTCTTTACTGTCCCAGGATTGTGAAGAACCCTAGAGAATACTCGGGTATGGGATACGCCAGAAGAGCTAGCCCTTCCCAGCTCACATCTTGGAAAACAGCGTGTGAACCAATTAGCACCTCTCAGCCATGAAGAAAACGTTGAGTCACAGCCTTGTACATGAGGTTCTCAGAGTGAGATGGGACCACATAGGGCCAACCTGCCCAGCCCCTGCCTGCAGGCGGAGAAGGCGTCATGCCCGTTGCACTGATGAGGCTACTGAGACAAAAGAGCCTCCATCTGGAGCAAAGCTAAGCTGGTCTGCACATCTGCTGGGTCCAGCTGCTTCCTGAGGGTGTCACAGCCTTGGGGTTTCTCCTGGCTCTTCACTCCCTGATACCCTCTGAGCCAACCTGGTGCGGGGGGAACAAAGGCACAGGATCCCGACCATCCCAAGAGCATTTAGCTTGGTTAGGGCCCCCAGGATAAGCTGCTCTCAATTTGATTCAGGAAGAGCATGTGTGTGTGGTTTGGTTTGGTTTGGTTTTTTAGAGACAGGGTCCGACTCTGTCGCCCAGGCTGGAGTGCAGTGGTGCCATCATAGCTCACTGTTACCTCGAGGTAACAGTGGTAACTCCTGGGCTCGAGATTCTCCTGCCTCAGCCCTCCAGAGTAGCTAGGACTACAGGTGCATACTCCCATGTCCTGCTAATTTTTTATTTTTTTGTAGAAACTAAGTCTCTCTGTTGCCCAGACTGGTCTCAAAATCCTGGCCTCAAGCAATCCTCTCCCCTCAGCCTCCAATCCTCCAATCCTCAATCCCAAAGTGATAGGATTATAGGCGTGAGCCACCACACCTTGCCATGTGTGTTTTTATTAGCACTGGCATGGAGATTAAGTTCCATCCAGACCACCGCTGTGCAGTGTGGGAGGCAGTGTGGCATAGTAGGAACTGTGCTAGACTGGCCTGGGTGTCAGTTTCTATTCTTCCCTTTGCAAGTTACACAGGTGACCTTGGACCACTTACAAACTTCTGGAGCCCCAGTTTCCTGATCTGTGTGATGTGGGCTATAATGACTCCTCAAGGGTTTGTTGGGCAAGTTTCTTGAAAACTCCTAAGTGCCACGCAGATATTACTGTGAAGCTCTTTGTGTCTTTGCTAGCCAAGCAGAAGACAGCAGCAACCACTCTGCTTTGTACATAGATGTTTGTTCTTCTCACTATGGAGCCCCCAGCATCTAGCACAGCTCTGAGTACACAGTAGGCATAGAAAACTATTTGTTAAATAAATGAACAGTGTCATGGACTGAATGCTTGTGTCTGCCCTCCAAATTCACACGCTGAAATTTTAACCCCAAGGTGATGGTATTAGGAGGGGAGACTTTGGGAGGTAATTAGGTCATGAAGGTGGAACCCAAGGGAATGGAATTAGTACCCTTATAAAATATGAGACCCCAGATTGGGCACGGTGGCTCACACCTGTAATCCCAGCACTTTGGGAAGCTAAGGCGGGCGGATCACCTGAGGTCAGGAGTTCAAGACCAGCCTAGGACCAACATGGAGAAAGCCCATCTCTACTAAAAATACAAAATTAGCTGGGCGTGGTGGTGCACACCTGTAATCCCAGCCAGATACTCGGGAGGCTGAAGCAGGAGAATCGCTTGAACCCGGGAGGCGGAGGTTGCGGTAAGCCAAGATCTCGCCATTGCACTCCAGCCTGGGCAACAAGAGCGAAACTCTGTCTCAAAAAAAAAAAAGAAAGAAAAAAGAGACCCAAGGCTGGGCATGGTGGCTCACGCCTATAATCCCAGCACTTTGGGAGGCTAAGGTGGGCAGGTCACTTGAGGTCAGGAGTTTGAGACCAGCCTGGCCAACATGGAGAAACCCCATCTCTACTAAAAATACAAAAATTAGCCGGGTATGGTGGCGGGTGCCTGTAATCCTAGCTACTCGGGGGGCTGAGGCAGGAGAATTGCTTGAACCCAGGAAGCAGAGGTGTCAGTGAGCCGAGACTGTGCCACTGCACTCCACCCTGGGTGACAGAGTGAGGCTCTGTCAAAAAAAAAAGGAAAGAAAGAAAAAGAAAGAAAGGGAGAGTGAGAAAGAAAGAAGAGAAAGAAGAAAGAAAGAAGAGAAAGAAGAAAGAAGAGAAAGAAAGAAAAAGAAAGAAAGACCTCAGAGAGTTCTCTCACGCTCTTTCTGTCATGTAAGCACACAGTGAGAAGCTAGTCATCTGCAACCAGGAAACAAACCCTCACCAGAACAGGACCATGCTGGCACCCTGATCTCAGACTTCCAGCCTCCACAACTCTGAAAAATAAATGTCTGTTGTTGATAAGCCACCCAGGCTATTTACTGGTGCTTTGTTATAGCAGCCCAAACTAAGACAGTGAGCTCATATCAACCTGTTGTTTTAGTAGGCAAATGCCATCAACATAGCCCCTTTGTTTAAAGCTGATGTTTTATCTTAGTATTAGGTGAGCATCTGTGGCCTGGCGTGTAAGAAGATTTCAGCTTTGGTTCAGGGCTTGCTGGCTACTTAGATCAGAAATATCAGACCAGGCTGCTTGGTATAGGATTAGTCCAAGCCACCTGTGGTGTGAGTGCCACTGGGGATCAATGTGGGCACCTGTCATGCCCCATCACAACAGACATCATAACAGAAGCACCTTGGCTGAGTAAGCCAGGAGTCCCCAGTGGTGGGCACAGCCACAGTACCGTGCATGTTTATAAGGTGCCAGACGTACTGCATCATTTGTCTTGTTCAATGCACACAGTGCTCTATTAAGTGGGTGCTTTTTTTGATCCTTGTATTTCAGGCAAGGACACTGAGCCTTAAAGAGGTTATTTGCTGAAGGTCACCCTGTTATTAAGTAGAAGAGCTAGGATTTGGAGTTTAGACTCTTTGACTCAATTCTTTAACTGCTGTGACTACCATGAACCACATTGCAGAGCAAAGAACCAGTCACAGAATCACAGATTGCACTAGATGGACTCAGTCCAGACACCTCATTTTGTGCATGCGGCCGAGAGCCATCCACAGATTGGGGGCCACACAGGGCCTAGAACCCAGGCCCCTGTAGTTAAAGTCCATGCTGTCTGCAGCCCCGTCCACTCCTCTGTTCTGGCTGCTACGTTCCCACCACCCACCTTCCCACTGCCCCAAGGTCCTTTCCAAGGCAGGAAACTTACTTCTAGAAGGAACTGAGATTTAACATGGTCCCACACACACCACCATTTCTGCTGGAGACTGAACAGATGATTCATTCACACCACAAGGAAGTGCAACACCAATAATTTAATGAATGGATTGCTGTGGGAAGTGGTGAAAACTTTTAATCTTGAAAGTTTTAAAACGTAGGTATGTTTGCATGCATTGAAAACAATTGAGACCAAAGACGAAGTTTTGAGCTAGCTTCAGATTCAGGGTTTTAGGCCCTATGCCCTCTTTCCATAACAAATATTTCATAACATCCCCCCGTATTATCCTGAAACAAAATTTATAAAAATATAAACTACTTACACATATAATTTTAAAAAGCAATAATGAGTTAATAATAATTTAAACAGATAAAGAAAAAAATTATATATACATGTATGTGTGTATACATATATAATATATATTATGTATTCAGTGTGTAAATGTCTAACCACCATTACACTAAAAGATGCAATGATGCTGAGCGTTGCGGCTCATGCCTGTAATCCCATCACTTTCGGAGGCCAAGGCGGGTGGCTCACTTGAGGCCAAGAGTTCGAGACCAGCCTGACCAACATGGCAAAACCCCATCTCTACTAAAAAATACAAAATTAGCCAGGTGTGGTGGTCCGCACCTGTAATCCCAGCTACTCAGGAGGCTGAGAAACAAGAATCACTTGAACCTGGGAGGCAGAGGTTGCAGTGAGCCGAGATTGCGCCACTGCACTCCAGCCTGGGTGACAGAATGAGACTCTGTCTCATAAAAAAAGATACAATGAGAGATGTTGGATCTTCATGTAAAATCACCACGAAAGCAATAGTTACACAAGCAGGCTGATATCCATCCATGTGTTGTCTTCTTGGCGACTCTGAGTTGGGTTCCCATCAGTGGCGTAATTTTTCTAAACAATAAACAACTGTTATTTACTGAAGTATGGAATGAAATATAAAGTACTGTTTTTCCTCAATATTTACAGTAGTTGTATTCATGGAATATTCGATATATATTAAAACCATGCAAAAATACTTTGGGGTTTTATGTAATATGGAGTTAGAGCTTAAAAGATCAGAAAATTATAACCAGAGTTTTTCAATACATGAATGTCTGGAGAAACATTGGAAAGATGGGTGAAATACAGAACAATTCTTCATTGTACAGGACTGTCCCATGCATGGTGGGACATGTAGCATCCATGGGCCTCACCCACCAGCAAACAAAAGTGCCCCACAGTTTTTCTTTTTTTCTTTTAGTTTTTTTTTTTTTTTTTTTGAGACAGAGTTTCACTCTTGTTGCCCAGGCTGGAGTACAATGGTGCAAGCTCGGCTCACTGCAACCTCCGCCTCCCGGGTTCAAGTGATTCTTCTGCCTCAGCCTCCCGAATAGCTGGGATTACAGGTGCCCACCACCACGCCCGGATAATATTTTGTATTTTTGGTAGAGATGGGGTTTCACCATGTTGGCCAGGCTGGTCTCGAACTCCTGACCTCAGGTGATCCACCTGCTTCAGCCTCCCAAAGTGCTGGGATTACAGTTGTGAGCCATCACGCCTGGCCCCCCACAGTTTTTCAAAACACTTCCAGGGGATGGCATTGCCCTTTTGGGGCCACTGGATTAGATAACCTTTCTGGTTCTCTTCCTTCCAGCCCTTTCATCGTCAAACACCCATGGAAGGTCCATGAAACGCCAGGGTTTGGGCAGGACAATGGGGCCATTGTAAGTTTGGGAGAGGGAGGTTCTGAAAGGGAGAAAATACTGTCCCTACCCTACAGCATGGTGGGAAACAGGGGAAGGGGATAGAAATGGGAAAATAAAGCACATAGCTCCTCCCTTCCAACTCTGAGCATCCTGAGAACAGGAGCTGTGAATTGTATTCATTTTTTTGACCTAGCATAGGCCCTTGCCAGGGGAGGATTCCCAAGTCTTTGCTGCATGTTGAGTGAAGGAAAGGCAGTAAGTTAGAGGCTGCAGCTCTGTTTGTATTTTGTCGTAGAGATAATAGAAATGAAAAGTGGGGTGTTTTTTTTTTTGAAACAATCTCTTGGTGATAGTTATTAACCAAGAACACACTATAGCTCACGTCCCAAGAATGAAAGGGAAGCCAGAAATTGCTTCTGTGACTGGAAGTGGGTCAAGGAAACCAGGAAGGAGCCCTAAGGCAATCCCCCACTCCCAACACACACACACACACACACACACACACACACACACACACACACACACGGAAGCCTCCTTCATTTCTCCTCAATCGACACAGATTGTCCTCCATGGCTGAGGGAGGGGCACAGACCCACATTTTGCAGCTGTCTCCTGCCATTTACAGGTTTGAGGCCAAAGCCACTCCCCTTCCAGCCAAGAAGCGCTTACATGCTCCACAAACGGCAGCAACCAATCGCAGACTGGGTCAACCTTGAAATTTCAGGTAGAGGCTGTTCTGGCTACAGGGAAAAGAAAGTAATACTTGGATTATCTGCTGGGCTGAGCAACCCATGCTTCGGGCACCAGCCAAATGGGGGAGATACAAGATAAAATGTATGTTTGGAAAGATTGCTTTTTTTTTTTTTTAAGCATTAAGGTCGTCATCAAGAAAAAGGATCGAAATTCTGTGGCACTTTCTCACATTCTTTTATGATTTATTTCTGGTTTTATTTTGAACTACCTATGCTGGGGGGTCAGGAGGGCCATAAGCCTTTTAGTGCTCATAGTGAAGTAGACCGTAGTGGCTAATAGTCCAGCCTTTGGGGCCAGACTGGCTGCTTCTTATTGTGTGACTTTGGGGAATGTATTAGTCAGTTTTCATGCTGCTGCTGAAGACACACCTGAAACTGGAAAGAAAAAGAGGTTTAATTGGACTTACAGTTCCACATGGCCGGGGAGGCCTCAGAATCATGGCAGGAGGCAAAAGGCACTTCTTTCAAATATATGTATATATACATATTATTATTATTGTACTCTAAGTTCTGAGATACATGTGCAGAACATGCAGATTTGTTACATAGGTACACACGTGCCATGGTGATTCACTGCACCCATCAATTCATCATCTATATTAGGTATTTCTCCTAATGCTATCCCTTCCCTGGCCCCTGACCCCCCAACAGGCCCCGGTATGTGATGTTCCCCTCCCTGTGTCCATGTGTTCTCCTTGTTCAGCTCCCTCTTATGAGTGAGAACATGCAGTGTTTGGTTTTCTGTTCCTGTGTTAGTTTGCTGAGAATGATGGCTTCCAGCTTTATCCATGACCCTGCAAAGGACATGAACTCATCAAAAGGCACTTCTTATATGGTGGTGGCAAGAGAAAAATGTGGAAGAAACATAAGCGGAAACCCCTGATAAAACCATCAGATCTCATGAGACTTATTCACTATCACGAGAATAGCACAGGAAAGACCAGCCCCTGTGATTCAACTACCTCCCCCTAGGTCTCTCCCACAACACATGGGAATTCTGGGAGATACAATTCAAGTTGAGATTTGGGTAGGGACATGGCTAAACCATATCAGGGAAGTTACTCCTCCTTTGTGATTCAGCTTCCCCATCTTTAAAATTGGATGATGATTATAATACTTACTTCATAAGATTATTAAAAGGATTAGGCCAGTTGCAGTGGCTCACACCTGTAATCCCAACACTTTGGCAGGCAAAGGCGGGAGGATTGCTAGATGCCAGGAGTACAAGATCCATCTGAGCAACATAACAAGACCCCTGTCTCTAAAAACAAATTAAAAATTAGCTAGGCATACTTGTGTGTGGCTGTAGTCTCAGCTGCTCAGGAGGCTGAGGTGGGAGGATCGCCTGAACCCAGGAGTTGGAGGCTGCAGTGAGCTATGATTGTGCCACTGCACTCCAGCCTGGGCAAAAGAGAAAGACCCTGTCTCTGAAAAAATAATTAAGAAGATTAAAAAGAGTTAATATGTATTAAAAAACATATAGAACAGTATTAAGCATGTTGTAAATGCCTTCTAAACATTTGCTACTATTAATGATAATATTATTACTGTTACTGTCAATAAAGATCTTATTCTGGCCCTAGGACAAAGATGGGAGCAACGGCATAGCTATGTGCTCCCAGACCTGTGAGGGAGTCAGCTGCTCAGGGGTTTCTGAATTCTGTGTGGGGAGAGTTGAGAAGGAAAAAACAAGAGAGTTTCTGGGTGTGGGGAGTTTAAGAACACTGGTTTATACCAAGTGCCTGCTTCTCCTCTTCCAGGGTCTCCATCTTGGCCACTGAAAGTGTTTGTAGGCTAGAAAAGTAATTAGAGGACTCTGATTCCAGGGAAGATAGGTCAGAGGTGGCATCCCCCACTGCTAGGGGAGATGTAGGAAGGGGATGTAAGAAGGTCGCTCAGTGACTGTGACTGAGCTGACTGAGAACATCATCCATGTGGCTGTGAGTTCCCATGCAAGCATGTGTGTGTGTCCAAATGTGTGTATATGTCTGTGTGTGAATGTGTGCATGTGTCCTTGTGTGTGCATGTGTTTGTGTGTGTGAATGTGTCATGTGTTTGTGTATGTGTACATGTCTCTGTGTGCACATGTGTTTATGTATGCATGTGCCCATGTGTGCATGTGTGTCCGTGTGTGTGCATGCATCTATGCATATGCACATGTTTGTATGTCTATGTGTGCATGTGTGTCCGTGTGTGTGCATGCATCTATGCATATGCACATGTTTGTATGTCTATGTGTGTATGTGTCCGTGTGTGTGTTTGTGTGTCTCCATGTATGTCTGTGCACATGCACGTGTCTGTGTGTGCATGCCTGTGTGTCTGTGTACGTGCATGTTCTGTATGCATGTGTTCAAGTGTGTCTATGTCCATGTGTGCCCATCTGATATGGTTTGGCTGTGTTGCCACCCAAATCTCATCTTGAATTATAGCTCCCATAATTTCCACATGTCATGGGAGGGACCTGGTGGGAGGAAATTGAATCTTGGGGGCGGGTCTTTCCCATGCTGTTCTCGTGATAGTGAATAAGTCTCATGAGATCTAATGGCTTTATAAAGGGGAGTTCCCCTGCACACGCTCTCTTTCCTGCCGCCATGTAAGAGGTGTCTTTGCTCCTCCTTTGCCTTCCACCATGATTGCGAGGCCTCCCCAGCCATGTGGAACTGTGAGTCCACCAAACCTCTTTTTCTTTATAAATTACCCAGTCTCGGGTATGTCTTTATCAGCAGCATGAGAATGGACTAATGCACCATGCGTGTGCATGTTTGTGTGTGTATGTGTGTCTCTGTGCTTGTGTCCATGTGTGTCCGTGTGTGTGCATGTGTTTGTGTGTGTCCGTGTGTCTCTGTGCTTGTGTCCATGTGTGTCCGTGTGTGTGCATGTGTTTGTGTGTGTCCGTGTGTGTGCATGTGCTTGTGTGTCCATGTGTGTGCATGTGTTTGTGTGTGTCTGTGTGTGTGCATGTGTTTGTGTGTCTGTGTGTGCATGTGTTTTACATCCATGTGCATGTGTTCATGTGTCCATGTGTGCATGCATCTGTGTGTCCATGCGTACCCATGTTTGTGTGTCCATGTGTGCATATGTTCATTTGTGTGCATGTGTGTCTGTGTGTGCATGTTTTTGTATCCATATGTGTGCTCGTGTGTGTGCCTGTGCATGTGTCTGTGTGTGTGTGCCTGTGCATGTGTGCATGTTTGTGAATGTGTGTGTATCCATGTGTGCATGCATGTCCCCATGGGCCTGTCACAGCATTCCTGAGGTGACAGACTTCAGGACAGATTTCAGGGCCACTTCACCCACAGTGGCCACTGAGCACCATATCTCTTTGGTTTTAAGGAACAAACATAAACTTTGGGTCCTCCCAGACCATAATGACTTTATTCTTACTTCCTGGCCTCATTCAGGAATACCTTGGAGAACTGGGTCATCTATTCAACTGGTCAGGAGAACCACCATGATCAGGTACCACACAAGGGCACTAAGATGTTGACATTTATTAAGATCATGCTCTGTGCCAGGCCCTTTCACTCTTCACGGTAATCTTATGAGGTGATCTCATTGAAGAATGGAAATTCTTCCCCAGGAATTTCAGGGGTAGGTATCCTATTTTTATCATTCCAGGGGAGAAAATGGAGGCACAGAAATTTAATAACTTGCCCACATGTACTCATCTTGTGACAGAGTTGGAATTTGGACTCAGGCAGTCTGGCTCCAAAGTCCAGAGTTCATGGTCTCAACCCCCAATCTCTACTGCATGGCTTTGACCCTCTGAGCACTTGCGAGGTGAGAGGCTGGGGGTGAACAATTCACTAGGCTAACTCAAAGAGCCTTGACCTTGGGCAAACAATGTAGCAGAGGATCTCACAGGAAAACAACCAGGTTCACATCCTGGTCTGTTCTCTTTGCAGCTCCTACAGAGGATGCTGTCATTGTTCCTATTACAGTTTCTTCTAGACTCCGGCCCTCATTTAGGGTTTTACATTGGCCATTTCCTGCTGGAGGAGGAGGGGGAGTTTATTACAATCAACTCCACTGCAAAGCGGACTCTCCCCACCCACAGATTTCATAGCAAGAACCCCAGCCCTTCTTTGTCTGTGTCTGAGTTAATCTGGGAGGAGGGAAAGACCCAGGCCCTGCTCTGGCTGTGCGTTCAGCTCAGGCACTTGCTTTATGTTGTTTTCTAGAACTGACAGTGACAAGTGTGGAGACACCTATCCACTGAATCCCATGTGGTAAAGAAAGGGGCATGATGGGTAGGGAGTACAGCACAGACTCATCCTGTCTGCCACTGGGACCTGAGCTTAGCAAAGAGGTAGATCATGAGATAGGGGTGCCAGGAACTAGCCCCCAAAAGCGGAGCCTTACATAGAAGTGAGTCTTCTCTGTGAGGAGGAATTTCCTGTCTTCAGTGAGATCACTAGCACAATCACCAAGAAAAATTGCTTCCGTGGCCTTTGGGTCCTGCTGGCTTTTGCTTCCTAACCACCTTCCAGAAGCCCCCCGAGACTTTGGAGCAACTGACCTGCTTACTGGCTTTTCGTCCTACCCAGATGCCCCACTCCAACTATATTAGCGAGGGTCTGGGTTGCAAGCAATAGAAACTGGCTCTAGTTAACTTAATCAGGAAAATAATTTATTGGAAAGGTCCTGGGCCACCCACAGGATAAACAGGAAGGCCGAAGAAAAAAGTACATGTAGAAGCTAAGGGTGGCAAAGGCCTAGGCGAGTCCTCATCACAGGAATTCAGCGTGGGAGGCTGCTACAGCCATCACTGCCCTACTGGACCCCATCACCTCTGGACACACTTACCCTGCCCCAAAACCCCAACTTCAGCACCACCGCCACCAACAATAACCTTGGATAGAGCCAAGAGTCTTTGTGTGGCCTCTCTAGAACAAAGTCCCAGGCAGGCACCCACAGTTGGCTGTGCCTAAGTCCCTGCTAATGTTCTAGCCTGCCAGGCTGAGCAAAGGGGTGATCTATCCCCCACCTTTGGAATGACCTTGCTGCTCATCTTTTCCGTTGTTTCCTCCCAGATAGAAAGGGCTTGGGGAGGCAGAGGATCTAAAAAGAACTTACCTTACCGCAGATTCTTCTGAAGGAGAGATTAATTAGCTATGTTGGATGGAGAAAGGCAGCCCAAGTCTCTCCTTCAGCTTCTCTGTTACATAAATGGCTGTATTTCCATTTTAGCTAAACTAATTTAAGTATGGTCTTTGTCACTTGTAGCCCAAAGAATCCTGACCCTTACCACCATCTGCCTACCTAAGGTTCTCAACCAAGGATAGCATAGCCCCCAGGGGATCTTTGGAAACATGCAAAGTATTTGTTTGCCTTTCAATGATTGCTGTTGAAAGGTACTAATACCTGAGAGGTATAGCACCGTCAAACACAGCAAAGATAGCCCTTGCCAAATGCCAGTAGTGCTGCTGATGGGAAGCCTTGCACCTACATCAACAATGACAGACATCATGGTCAGCATCTCCAGTCTCCCCACTGGAACTGGACATGGCTTCATCGCTGTCAACATGGTGCAGAGTCATGACAAATTCATCACAGTTGGGAAAACCACGCATTTGCCATCCCTGATTATATACCAACTCCCTGTCCCCACTCCCTTTTTAAAAAGCTATGGAAACTGAGACTTGGAGAGAATGCATCATTTACGCAAGGTCACACAGCTTATTTGGTGGCAGGTGGCAGTCTAGAGTCAGTCTATGGCCTCAGATGAAGGCTCTTTCCACAACACTCTGCTGCCATTGTGTTTTTCACAGAGGCAGGCTTGGAAAGTCTGGACTCGCTTTGGAATGCTCAGGTTTCCAGGGACCTCCCTGAGAGCTCCCAGGTGACTGGCTTCAAGGCTCAAGGCAGGACCCTGGGTCCCACAGTGCCACCTGCAGATGTTGGTGATAAGAGAAAGAGAGGCTCTCTGTGGAAGGGGCTGAACTTTGTGGGCAGACTTGGCACCAAGCAAAAGGAATAAACAGAGAGCTGAAGTTTCACCCAGGGGAGGATGAGGGCTCCATACAGATTTGCAGAGACTTGGCGCAGTTGCTTTAGCCAGATAATCACACAGGAGCTAATTAGCCCCTTCCTTCCCAGCTCAGCCCTCTGGGGCAGCAGGATGCTCAGTGGAGAAGAGAAACCCATTAATTACTTTATCAGGAAGTGCTGATAAGAACCCAAAAAAGGTATTGCTCTAAGGCTCTGAGCTAATTAAAGAAGGCTGCAGGGTGAAGGGATGTGTCTCACCCAGGGAAAGCAGAGCACACACTTTGATCTTGAGCCCCATAGCCCCAGACTGAGCGCAAGAAAGGGCTTCTGGGCCCCCAGGGAAACTTCACCCTTGCAGGTTCAGCAACCCCAAGACTGGGATCATTATGAATGAGGAGTCTGCTGGCAGTCAGGCCAGCTCAGCCTGGGGATGAGGGGTTCTGAAGGAGGCAGTCGGGGTCTCTCCCCCAAGATGCCACACAAATAGCATCACTGGAATGTGATGTAAGGGTGTGCATCTTCTGACTAGTATTATTATCATACCCATTTTTTCAGGGAGGAAAACAGGGCTCAAATAACATACAGTGTCCAGTCAGGGATCATTCAAGTAGGAAGAGGCAGAAACACAACTTGAACCCAGATCTCCAACTGGAAATCCATGTTATTAGCATCACGCTGTGATAGTATTCTGCAGGGTCTGAAGGTGTCGCTTCCAGCCAGGCAGGCCTGGGTTCCAGTCCTGGGATCCTTCTTTTCTTAGCTCCTAAAGCTAATTCCTTCCTTTCTCAGAATGCTTGTTTCCTCATCACGGCAGCAAGGCTAATCACACCCACTCAAATGGTTATCAGGAGGAGTATATGAGGCAAGATGACATGTGCCAACCACCTAGGACAGAACCTGGCAGCCATTAGTTTCAGTCTCCAGTGCACAATTTGCAAACTGGTTTTTAACTGCAAAAATTTTAGTTCAAATATAATCTTACAAAGATACCCAATATGCAAAGAGCTAAAACTGAAACTTCTCTGAAGGAAGGGTGATGGGTGGCTCAGCACCCCACCCACTCTGGCCCCTCTCCCACCAGCAGAGGCTCTGTTGAACACTCAGAATTTCTCAGAGCACAGTCAGGCAACCTGGATCTGGGGGAAGAAGAATGCTCTGAGATCTCAAAGGACTCTGAACACATGCCCCAGATTAAGACAAATGATATCCTTTTGTTGCACAGAGGACATTAACGATATCCTTTTGTTGCCAGAGTGGGTGGGGAGCTGAACCACCCAACAATGATAACATTGTTTCGCTGGATATTTATCAAATGGCCTAGAGAGGGTGGAATGCCTTTGGTAAGCAGGTATCCAAAGACAATAGCATAGGTCATACTGAAACCTATGTCCCAGGATGTAAGATGTTATGAGTATAAACCCTGATTCCTCTGAAGACATTGGAGAGATGCAACCGTCATCCTTGTAGTACCCGAAACATGGTATTCTGGGAGGTTGGGATTGAGGGGATGGAAAAGGGCCATTTGTCGTGGACTCTTCCTTTGATGAACTCATTTGGAATTACTATAGAAGACACCATACCCCATGGATACACGGTTTCCTGCTCCGGCCCCTCCTCTGCTAGCTTGGCTACTCAAAATCCAACTAATATTGACTGAATGTCTGCATGCCTGCTATGTATCTGGAACTCCTGAGGCACACTCGGGTCTTACTTCATTGAATCTTCAAAACTGTCCAGCAATTCAGAGACTCTTACCACAGTTTACGGTTGTGAAACTGAGGCTCAAAGCAGTTTGGGACATTAGTCCTGGACTTGCAGCTATTGAGAGGACAGGGTTCAAACCTAGCTTCACCCAAGGCCAAGTCCAGTGCTCTTCCAAGCCCCCTCCATGAAGCTTTCCAGAGAAATCCTAGCTGTGCCCAGCCATTCTAGATACTGTCCGGGAGGACACCTTAGAAGCTTAGGACAGCCTGGGTGATTCAGCCTAGAAGAACACACTAGGAGAATGGTGAGAGACCTGTGTTCTTGTCCGTTCTAATTTTAACCCGGTAGGTCCCTTCTCTAGATGTAGTTTTCTCATCTGTAAAGCTGAGAGAGTGGCTTTCTAAACCACTTCCTGTTCTGCATCTCCTCCCCATGACTGCCTGTGTACATCTGAAAGCAATGGTTCTGGGGCCTGAGTCTCAGTCTGATGTGTTTACATGTCCCTGGTTTCTTTCGGCCTGTTCCCCAAGAACGGTCTCCAGGCCCGCGCCCTCAGTGCCCCTGAGCTGCAGCTGCTTGCCTGGCCTCCCAGCCCCAACTGCACCTGTCCAGCCCGTGCTCTGGGGAAGTTAGCAAGGAATCAGGACCCTGGAAGGTGGCACAGGCTCAAGGTGGCTGCAGAGGAGGCAACTACAAGTGCTGCTGAGGGACCTCCTCCCGGCAGCCCTCCAGAATTACTGCTCCCCAAAGTAACTCTCAGGTTGTTTTAATGAAAGATAAATGCATGCTACCCTGTGCTCAGTTTTTATTTTCTAGAATGTGTGGAACAGTGAGGGAATTGTAACATCTTTTTTGTTTTGTTTTGTTTTTGAGTCAGAGTCTCACTCTGTCACCCATGCTGGAGAGTGCAGTGGTGCGATCTTGCCTCACCGCGACTTCCGGCTCCCGGTTCAAGTGATTCTCCTGTCTTAGTCTTCCGAGTAGCTGGGATTACAGGCAGGCACCACCACGCCCAGCTAATTTTTGTATTTTTAGTAGAGACAGGGTTTCACCAAGTTGGCCAGGCTGGTCTCAAACTCTTGACTTCAGGTGATTCATCCACCTCGGCCTCCCAAAATTCTGGGATTACAGGCGTCAGCCACCACACCCGGCCTGTAACATCATTTTTTAAAAATCAAACACACAGTGAGGTGGTGTCACAACTCCTCAGATGGCTGAGAATTGTTAGGAAATGCAACCCTGTGGCTCAGACTCCACACTCAACTGCTCTCTGGAAGCATCACCTGTGCCCAACCTCACCTCAGTAGCGGAGAATTGCTGGATCAGTATACAGACTAGCGGAGTGGTTGGGAGAGTAGGAGCCGCTCTGAAGGGATCAAGCCTCAACTGGATGCAGGAATTCCGGTGGTTTATTAGCAAGAGAAGGCACTTGGAGGTGCAAGGAGTGCAATACTGAACAAAACAGCCACAGTCCTTACCCTCGTGGAGCTTAGAGTTGTCAGGGAAGGATATGGACAGTAAACAGGTAAAGTAATAAATATATATGTAATCTAAAATTGAGAAAATGCTACAAAGGTCAGAAGCAGAGTGTGTGATGGAGAATAAGGGTGTTTTTGGGTTGGAGAGAGGGACTTCCACTGAAGCAATGTTGTCAAGGATGATCCATTTGAAGGGGTAACATGTAAGCTGAGAGCTGAAAGTCAAGGAATCAACTGGGCTACAAACTGGAAAAAGAGCCAGAGGCAAGGCCAAAGGCCCCAAAAGAGGGTTCAGCAAACATTCGGTGCAGGGCCAGATAGTAAATACCTTTGGCTTCATGGTCCATCAATCTCTGTCATGCCTGTGTTCCAATAAAACTTTATTTATAAAACAGAAGCAGGAAGTATTCTGCCAATTCCTGCCCTGAAACAATAAAGCATGCATTGTGTGTTAGGAAAGAATGAGGCTGGCTAGCCGGGCCAGGGAGGAAGGGGAGGGTTTCAAGGTGAGGTGGAAAAGACAGGAGTGAGGTCATGGAAGGCTTTGTAGAACATGGAAAAGACTTCGGATTTATTGTAAAAAGCCACTGCAGGGTTTTAAAGCAGCCAAGAGACATGACTTGATTTATACTGTGAAAGATTACTCTGGTTACTGTGTAAAGAAAGAACTGGAGAGAGGAAAGGGAGGAGGCAGGAAGACCCTCTTGGAATCTACTGTAATAGCCATGGGAGAGATGCTGGTGACCCGCTATCTGGTGGAGATAGAGAAAGGCAGATGGCTTGAAGATCCAATTTGGAGATTACATCCATAGGACTTGCTGATGATCACATGTGGCAGAGGAAGAGCCAGTCCTCAAATATGGCCTTCAGGATTCTGGCTTAAGCAAGTGGGTGAATTTACTGAACTGTAGAAGATAGGAAACAGAGGGGCTAGGTCAGGGGATAGACTCAAATACGGAAACCAGAACTTCAGTTTCAGAAACACTAAAGTTGAGATGCTTGTGAGACATGTAAGTGTCGAGGTCCAGTAAGCAAATCTGATCAGGATCTGAGAGGCAGGGCATATGGGGCTTATAGGACACGCCTCCTTCCTCAGCTTGGCCCCATTTTCCCCTAGGCTCAGTTGTTGCCCTGATTCCTAGCTGGAGCAGCCCCACCGTGGTATGATGACCTCCCGGTGGTTATGAACCTCGCTGCCACTGCTATGGCCTCACCTTTCATTGCTGACTGAGCCCCACAGATGAGGGCCAGGCTTCATCAAGCCTTCCATGGCGCCTTCCCTGTCAGGGGCCTCAGTGGCTCCAGAGCCCATGTCCAACCATCTGAACTTAGGCATCTCTGACTTCTCTGGTGGCTTTCCAAAAGGGCCTAGTGACATAAGCAGAAAGTGCAAAGGACTTAACTCCACAAGTGGCAAACCTTAACCAATGTGAGCAGGAGATGGGAAGGAACTGGCAGATAAATTGTTCACCTTCCTTCCCTCAACAGTTCTGCCAAGATGCAGTGGTCCCATACTGCTTCTCTCGATGGCTCACGTGATCAAGCAATCAGCTATGTGTTTTCTTGGGAAGCTGTGGCCAGCTCCACAAAAAACTATGATGTGATGGCTTCCCTCCTCCCCTGCCTTACTTCCCCTTTGCCCTCAGTCCTGCTTTCCCTGGGATTATACCCTCCAATAAAACATTAGCCCCTAAGCTCTGCCTCAAGTTCAGTTTTGTAGGGGACCTGGGCCTATCCAACCAGTTTAGATGCTAAAAATGTTAAGCACCATCTATTTATTTCACAAAGATTTTTAAAAGTACTTATCATATGTCAGGTATTGTTCGAAATGCCTTACAAATATTAACTCATTTTATCCTTATGATGATCCTGTAAAACAGATATTATTGGTATCCCCATTTTAGAGCTGAGAAAACTGCAACAGAGAGGTCAAGTAGCCGTATAGATCAGTGCTGGCTATGGAAACAATGCAAGCCTCATATGTAGTTCTAAATTTTCTAAAAGTTACGTAAAAGTAAAAAGAGACTGGTGAAATTAATTTTAGTAATATTTTTATTTAACTTAATATAGCCAAAGTATTATTATTTCAACATGAAATCAATAAAAACCATTTTAATGAGATTGCTGACATTCTTTCATACTAAGTCCTTAAAATCCAGTGTGGGCTGGGCATGGTGGCTCACACCTGTAATCCCAGCACTCTGAGAGGTTGAAGTGGGAGGATTGCTTGAGTCCAGGAGTATGAGAGCAGGCTGGGTAACACAGTGAGACTTTGTCTCTACAAAAAAAAAAAAAAAAAAAAAATAGCTATGCGTGGTGGTGTGCACCTGTAGTCCCAGTTACTCAGGAGGCTGAGATTAGATGGGAGGATGGCTTCAGCCCGGGAAATTGAGGCTACAGTGAGCCTACATCATGCTGCTACACTCCAGCCTGGGTGACTGAGCAAGACTTTGTTCCAAAAAAAAGTCCATTGTGTACTTAATATTTACAGCACATCTCATTTTGTACTAGCCACATTTCAAATGCTCAATGGCCACTTGGGGCTGGTGGCTGCCCTACTGAACAGGGCAGGAATAGATCGTATGCTACATTATGAGTA
The DNA here is from genome assembly GCF_000001405.40 of Homo sapiens. Classification (NCBI taxonomy): domain Eukaryota; kingdom Metazoa; phylum Chordata; class Mammalia; order Primates; family Hominidae; genus Homo; species Homo sapiens. The sequence goes on from NC_000002.12 coordinate 30,340,900, forward strand.
AATGACCACGTAGAGGAGGAAGAAAAGACTTCCCTCAAAACTCAGCTGGCATTCCTTGAGCTGAACATAGGCATGGAGAAAGACTATCTTTTCTCAATAAGACGAAAGAACTAAGTAGATAGAAATTTATTTGCTCTTTTAAATTTTTTGTTAATTACAGTTGTATATGTATCAGCAAGTGCTGACAAAAAAAACATACATAGCAAACATATGTTATAGGAAACATTCTGGAAATAGGTGTTTGTAACTAGTCTGACTGAACTTCTTCTTTTTTTTTTTTTTTTTTTTTGAGACAGGAGACAGGATCTTGCTCTGTCCCCCAGACTGGAGTTCAGTGACATGATCTCAGATTACTGCAGCCTCCACCTCCCAGGCTCAAGTGATCCTCCTGCCTCAGCCTCCCTAGTAGCTGGGATCACAGGTGCATGCCACTACACCCAGCTAATTTTTTTTGTATTTTTTGCACAGATAGGGTTTCGCCATGCTGCCCAGGATGGTCTTGAACTGTTGGACTCAAGCGATCCTCTCACCTCAGCTTCCCAAAGTGCTAGGATTACAGGTGTGAGCCACCACACCTGGCCCAGTTTGACTGTATTTTGCATATACGTGCTAATGCTTGAGATTTTTAGGCTGTACACAAATAAAATATGGGTATTTTCTGCTAGCAAAATTGTCCCTAGTTGGTATGGTTAAAATGAACTTTCAACAGAACTCGGTGTCATTTTCAGTGGTGGCTCGCAGAATCCTGGCTATGTGTAGGGCAGGCACCGGGTGCTGGGATTGTAGGAGTAAACAGACAGAAGAGGGCTCCACTCTTAGGGAGCTGACAGTCTGCTAGGAGAGCACGATCAGTGAGTGCTTCTGATGCAGTGGCAAAGGAGTTTGATGGGTGTTATGACAGGAAACGTGAGGCACTGGGAGAGCAGGTAGGAGGGACACCTGACCTGGAATTGAAGTTTAGGGAAGGTGGCAGGGAGGAAGGGATGCTGAACAAGGACCTGTATTTGTCCATTTTCATGCTACTGATAAAGACATACCTGAGACTGGGTAATTCATAAAGAAAAAGAGATTTAATGGACTCACACTTCCACGTGGCTGGGGAGGCCTCACAATCATGGTGGAAGGCAAAATGCATGTCTTACATGGCAGCAGGCAAGAGCAAATGAAAGCCAAATGGAAGGGGAAACCCCTTATCAAAACATGAGCTCTTGTGAGACTTATTCACTACCACAGAGAACACTATGGGGAAAACCACCCCCATGATTCAGTGATCTCCCACCAGGTCCCTCCTACAACATGTGGGATCTATGGGAGCTACAATTCAAGATGAGGTTTGGATGGGGACACGGAGCCAAACCATACCAGGACCCAAAAGATGAACAGGGGTCAATTAAATGAAGAGGAGGTGAAGGGCTACAACGGAGCCTGGGTATGTTCGAGGCAGAGGTGAAAGCCTGGACGAAGGCCAGATGAAGAGAGCATGGCACATTCAAAGAACCAAAAGAAATTCATTGTAACTGGATCACAGTACAGGTTGGAGCCCAGCAAGAGGTGAGGGTCAAGGAGTCAAATACAAGACAAGGAAAAGAAAAGGACAGGAGTTTTAATGGATGTGGACTGGGATTTCTCAGAGTATGGTTACACTGCATACATCACATTCACTGGAGATGCTTGTTATGAACGGGAACTTTTGGGGCTTTTTCTAGGCCTGGGTGGGGTTTTTCTCAGAGTAGGGTTACACAGTGTACATACATCACCTTCATTGGAGATGCTTGTTATAAATGGGAACTTCTGGGGCTCTTTCTAGGCCTAGGGAGTTTAGGAATCTTCATTTTAATAAGCTCCCCAGGTGAATGCTTTGCACACAAAAACTTGAGAAACACTTAAAAAAATAGTTGAAAAGTCTTTGACAAGTTTCTCCACTAAAACCAATATTTGAAAATGAATTCCCACATCATAAAACAATAAAGAGAAAGTTGGGAAAATTTGTGCACTGTTTGAATATACTAAGGAATTGTTAAACTTTAAAGGTGTCATAAGGTATTGTGTTTAAGGTTTTTAAAAAGAACCTTATGTTTTAGAAATGCATGCTGAGATGCTTATGGATAAAACTATATGATGTGAAGGAGTGGCTTCAAAATGACCTTGGTGGGAGAAGAGAAGTGTAAATGAAACAAAATGGCTCACAAACCGACCATTATTGAAACCAGTGATGGCTACATGGACACTCACTTCACCGTTTATTTACTGCTGAGACCAGCTCGGTCGGGGAGACCCTAACCCAGTGGCGCTAGAGGAATTAAAGACACACACACAGAAATGTAGAGGTGTGAAGTGGGAAATCAGGGGTCTCACAGCCTTCAGAGCTGAGAGCCCTGAACAGAGATTTACCCACATATTTATTAACAGCAAACCAGTCACTAGCATTGTTTCTATAGATATTAAATTAACTAAAAGTATCCCTTATGGGAAATGAAGGGATGGGCCAAATTAAAGGACTAGGTTGGGCTAATTAACTGCAGCAGGAACATGCCCTTAAGACACAGATCGCTCATGCTATTGTTTGTGGCTTAAGAATGCCTTTAAGCGGTTTTCCGCCCTGGGCGGGCCAGGTGTTCCTTGCCCTCATTCCCGTAAACCCACAACCTTCCAGCTTGGGCGTTAGTGCCATTATGAACATGTCACAGTGCTGCAGAGATTTTGTTTATGGGCAGTTTTGGGGCTGGTTTATAGCCAGATTTTGGGGGGCTTGCTCCCAGCAATTTACTTCCCAATGCTTGAAATCTTTCACAATAAAGCTTCGTTTAAAACTAAATTTCCATGGGATTGATTCATTTCATGCATTCAATGATATTTGCTGACTTCTAATACGTGATCAGAGAGATGTTTCACACTGGATATGGATCTCTGTAGAGTCCAGGAACAAAGGCAGCATAACGGCTTCTTTGGATGTGACTTTGTCCTTTCTCACGGGGATCAGCGCTCAGATCTCTTTTCAGTTGGCTTCTTTTTTCTTTCAAATAAAAAGGAGTACACAGTGAAGCCATCAAATCCAAGGATGACATAGCTCTTCGGGACAATGAACTGTCATACAGATCAAAGAAAACTACAAGAAACTTTCACGAAGCTGCGGAGGGAAAAGCAAACATCAGATGCAATTCAATGAGCTTGCAGTTAGGGGAGTGGATCTAGAGAAAATTGTCCAATGACACTTACAGGCTGATGAGCTCTGAGCCACAGTTACAACCTGGGAAAAGGATTCAAGAGGTATCACTGGCTATTTGCTATAGATTTCAGCTCCCAAAGCCATGAGCCCAGGTCAGAATGGGCCTGGAAACCTAAAAGAAGGCAGATTGCGGGCAGGCTGGAAGGATGCAAACTACCCTATGTCTTTACCCTATATGTTATCAATTGCAATTCAAAAACAGATTTGGGGGAAAGCCCTACCACATCAAATGTACACACTGATAATAATACACACCCTAATCTCATAAATACTAAATAGTGAAAAACATATCCCCTGAGAATTCACCATTTATTGGGAACTTAAACTTCATAGCATAATATCTATAACCTCATTTTATTCTAGTAGCAATCCTCTGTGGAAACCCACAGGTTTGGAAACCTGCCTCAGGTTACCTGACCATATTAAGTGGTAAAGTTGGATTTTAAATGGGAACTCAGTGTCCTCTAACTGGGATATGTATCAAATTCCAGAGGGTAATTAGGCAAAAATAATAATCAGGAAACCAATTTCCAGATCCTCAACTTGCATCGGCCTTCTTCCCTAAAATGGAGTTATCTGAGAATAAGACTGAATTAACACACTAAGGCTTTTTCCGTTTTACAAAAGAAAGGGGACCCAACGTGGGGAATGACTCCATGAATAATTCCATAGCTCACAGGGCCTCTGCATCCTTGTACTGGTGGTGAGAATAATAACAATTTTTGGCCGGGTGCGGTGGCTCACGCCTGTAATCCCAGCACTTTGGGAAGCCGAGGCGGGTGGATCACGAGGTCAGGAGATCGAGACCATCCTGGCTAACACGGTGAAACCCCGTCTCTACTAAAAATACAAAAAATTAGCCGGGTGTGGTGGTGGGCGCCTGTGGTCCCAGCTACTCGGGAGGCTGAGGCAGGAGAATGGCGTGAACCCAGGAGGCAGAGGTTGCAGTGAGCCGAGATCGTGCCACTGCACTCCAGCCTGGGCGACACAACAAGACTCCATCTCAAAATAAATAAATAAATAAATAAAATAACAATTTTCATTTAATGACTTTGTTCTTCATTCCCCCTGCTCTTGGGGGAGAATCCTACAAGAGCAAAAAAAAAAAGTATAAAATACGAAAAACGGCTTTTTCCATGTATGTAAATGTGATCAATAAAATACTCTGAAGCATAAGAAAATAATATGTCAGGATAAAAATCTGTGAAGGAAGTAGGAATAGTAATAAGAGTTCCAGGAGATAAAAAGAAAGATGTAAAATTCCTGAATGCCAATCAGCTTTTTCATAAATTTTAAAATGGATGATAGGGGCTACCAAATTGTCGATGTTACATTCCACTGGATCCATTTTAAAGTGTGAAGTCACAGTAGGTTTTAAATATCAATATTTACAATAAGCCAGAAACCACAGTTTTTGCAGCTACTTAACTTTTGAACTTCATTTTTTAAATGTGCTGGGGGTAGACAGTGGATAGCTTTACAAAATTCTGTTAGGGGTACATACATAAACAAGTAAGGCATGGGCCCTACCTGTCTGACGACACTCTCTCTGCTTTTTCCACTTCTCTAAGTTGGCCTCTAAACAGCACCTTCTCAGCACTTGGGTAATAATGACATCAAAAAGCAATGAAGGCCAGGTGCGGTGGCTCCTGTCTGTAATCCCAGCACTTTGGGAAGCTGAGGCAGGTGGATCATTTGAGGTCAGGAGTTCGAGACCAGCCTGGCCAACATGGTGAAACCATGTCTCTACTAAAATTACAAAAAAAATGAGCTGGGAGTGACGCTGCATGCCTGTAATCCCAGCTACTCAGGAAGCTGAGGCATGAGAATCACTTGAACCCCCGGGGAGGCGGAGGTTGCAGTGAGCCAAGATCGCACCACTGCACTCCAGCCTGGGTGACAGAGCAAGACTCTGTCTTAAAAAAAAAAAAAAAAAAAAAAAAGCAAAGAAGAAGTAAGCAACTCCCCCTCCTCCCATATCCTAGGAAGTACAGAGAAAACTATTCTATATGGGTTGAGCCCCTATTATGGGGCAGGTCCTATTTGGGGCATTGAATTCATCTGTCTTTATTGCTCTAATAGGGACACTATCACTCCCATTTTACTGATGAGGAAATGGAGGCTCAGAGGAACACATAAGCTGTTTATGGACTTACAGCTGCTACAGCTTACAGCTGGTAAGCACCAGAGCCAGGATTCAGCCCAGCTCTGGCTTAATCCAAAGCCAGTGCTTCTCCATGATATCATCCATGCTGCCTCCAGAAATCAGAGCAGAATTAGGGGCCACCTTGGTTTTATTTTCTTTCTCTGATAAAAGTGAAGTAGGGCACAAGACCCTGCCCAGTTCTTTTCCTACAGGCCTTTGAACATTCCCCAGCAAAGTGAGAAGGGAAAGCTCAGGGCTACCTCCAGTGCTAGCGCAGAGGGCGGGAGTATCAGCTGGCTGGCTGGAGCTGGCCAAGCCCCTCCTCTCCTCCTCCTGCTTCCCCCTCCATCCAGGCTCCACCGGGAACCTGTCCCAGACGCCTACCCCGCCTGAGCCAGAGGAAGGGAGGAAAACAATAGCAAAAACCAGGACCCTTCGGACTTGCCGCTGAATGGGGATTTTCGTCGGATGTTGAGTTTACCTGGAATGCCCCGGTGTTATTTTGGGAAGGCAGACATCCCACGGAAACAATGAAGTGGAAAAGAAAACAGCTAAAGCAAAATCTAGAGCCCAGTTTTTGCCAAACCAGCCCCACGTGGGCTGGGCAGGCTCTGGAAGCCCAAGTCAGGCCGATGAAGAGCGGCTGAGGCCGTGGGGATCTGGTTTACCAGGAGGGCACATGGAGGATGCAAGAAAAGGAAGAGCCGTATTCAAGTCCCCACTTCAGTGATGAGGCAGAAAGACCCTGCGCCTGACCACGTGGGAACAGCCTGCAGTGAGCGGTGACGCCGCCTGGCTTGAGCTAAGTGCTGGGCTCCACCATTCATTGGCTGAGTGACCTTAGGCAAGTCACTTAACCTCTCAGAGCTTCCTTATCCTCATGTAGAAGATGGAGGTGGGGCGCGGTGGCTCACGCCTGTAATCCCAACACTTTGGGAGGCCGAGGCGGGTGGATCACCTGAGGTCAGGGGTTCAAGACCAGCCTGGGCAACATGGCAAAACCCCATCTCTACAAAAAATACAAAAATTAGCCCGACGTGATGGTGCGTGCCTGCAGTCCCAGCTACTTGGCAGGGCGAGGTGGGAGGATCACTTCAGCCGGGGAGGCAGAGGCTGCAGTGAGGCATGATTGCACCACTGCATTCCAGCCTGGTCAATAGAGCGGGACCCTGTCTCAAAAAAAAAAAAAAAAAAAAAAAAAGGCAGTGGGAGTGGGAGTGATTTGCTTTAAAGGAACAGAGGAAAGATAAAATATATCTCTATATAATTATATACATTATATATAATATATTTACATATTTTATATATATAAATATATATATATATGTCCTTAGATATAGGTGTATATTTTCATATATAATTGATGAGAATTATAGATTATAGAGAGCAGTCATCTGGGAAAAAGTTTACAAACTGCTATCAGGCACTGGAGAGAATTTACTCAGGAGAAAAGGCCTAGGGAAGAAGGAAAGAGATAAAGTCCACTGAGCTAGCAGGGGCTGAAAAGGGAGAAGATCCTTCGAAGCTCCCTGTGCATGGTTTGACTTTGGTTTGCAGCACCAGCTCCTCCCATGCATAATATTACATAGTATTCTGGCTCTCTATGGCCCCTGCAAGACATAATTTATTTTTAGGGATTTATTGAGAATCTGTTGAATGCATTGCACCACGCCAGCATGGCAGGGAATCAGGAGCTAAGTCAAAAGGGTCCCCAAGAGCTGCTTCCTGGCTGTCACCAAGTCCTCAAGCCGCTGAGCTCACCTTTTCCTTTAGCGTCCGGGTCAACTGCCTGGTGCTCTCTTCCCACTTGCAGTCAGAATTTCAAGCCTTTTTTCATCCTCCTGTTCCAACCCCTGGGAATTCTGCAGAGCAACATGTCTCCCAATCTCATTTCTTGTTTAGACTGGGAGAATTGTGATAGACACCCTCATAGATGTGTCCCCTGCAGATGTCGTCTGCTTTCCATGCGGCCTCATCCCACACATGATGTGTCCCTCTCCCCATACTCCCTAAAGAAGCACTGACCCGAGACAGCTGACGGAACCAACATTTACCCTTTGGTAGGAGCAGGGGATGACCGATGACTGTGAAGTACAGGAGAGGGAACAGTTCACACCACTGCCCTGTGCTTCCTTGGCCAATCCTCCTCAGGGACCTCCTCTGCCAGCCATTCTAGTGCTCCCGGTTCCACCCACTGCCATGTTGTCCACAGACACTGTCTCCTCTTCTCCCCTCTTCCAGACTCTACCATCCCTCAAGAGGCAACATCATCATACCTCTTTCCTTTTGACCTTCCAAGGACCCTTGGAAGTTTCTGTTAGTCTTTTATATGGAGCAATTCAACCCGCCTTTGCTCCAACCCTCTCCCATCAAGGACTCTTCGGTGTAATTCTTTGAATCCTCACAGATACAGAGTGAATGGAAATCATTCCATTAAGCCACCACGCTGAAAGAAGCTCCTTTAGAGGACATAGGAAAGGCAGTGGAGAAAGGGCCCTACCGAGTACCAGGCACTGTGCTTGGCCCTTTGCACATACAGTCTCATTTCATTCTCCCAACAGTGCTTGAGACAAGCATTATTTTAATCGTCATTTTATAGGTTAGAAAGAGAGGCACAGAGAGGTTAAGCCATCTGCCTGAGTCAGCAAGTGAGGCCCAGGCTGTGCCTGGTGTGGAGGTTGGGAGAGAGTGGGCAGGAGAACATTGCTTTCCATTACCAAATGGGCCATCATTTCCCAGAACAGTTCTGACTGTGGTCAGCTGGTACAAGCAACAGTTTCCAGTCATTCCACACAGTACTGTCCCCAAAGGTACAGACGCCAGACAAGTGTAAAAGCCCAGGCATGACTGTGGGCTAAGGTTGGCACCTTGGCCAGCCTCAAATCCCCATGGGCACATTGATGTCATGGAAGGCAGGTTCTGCTCTTCAGTGGCTCCCAGCGACCTGGCTGATGACAACGTCTTGCCTTAGTGTGTTAGTGTCCTAGGATTGCCTTAATAAATTGCTACCAACTGAGTTGGCTTAAGACAACGGAAATATATTGTCTCACAGTTCTAGAGACTAGAAGTCCAAAATAAAGGGTGACAGCAGGGCCATGCTATCTCCAAAGACTCTAGAGGAGAATCCTTCCTCACCTGTTCCAGCTTCTGTGGCTCCTGGCATTACCTGGCTGTGGTGGCCAAATTCCATTTCTGTCTTTATCTTCACAAGGCTTTCCCCTGTGTGTCTCAAGTCTTCCTCTCACTTTTTTTTTTTTTTTTTTAAATAAAGACATCAGTTGTTAGATTTAGGCCCCACCTGAGAGATCCTTAGGATCTTATCTTAAGAATAATGTTAATCCTTAATTACATCTGCAAAGACCCTATTTCCAAATAAAGTCACATTCATAGGTACATGGAGTTAGGACCTGGACGTGTCTTTCGGAGGGACATGGTTCAACCCACCATGCTTGGTCTGGGGTTACTTTAAAATCCGGGCTTGTTGGCTTTGTGGCTTAAAAAATGCTAGAGAGGAAAGTTCCTGAGGCAAGTAAAGGGGAAGGATTGCAGGCCCAAAGTCACGGCAATGGAAAAACCATTAGCAGCAGGAGGCAGGAAAGCCCTCTGGAATGCCTTGCTACTGTCCTGCCCCATTTCTCACTCCTTCTCTCCTTGCAACATCCCAGATGAGAAGAGAATGAGCCATGTGTTTCCTGAAACATCCAGTGGCCTCACCGGAGAATCTGCAAGAGCCGGTAAACCCAGAAGCTTGGCCGTCCATTCCTGGAAGCAGACATTGTGTCTTCGTCCACCAAGCCCCTGGCTCTCAACACTCACTGTGGTGGCAAGAACATGGCACCTTGACCCTACACAGTTCTTCCATTTTTCAGAAGCAGGTGAGCACAGATTGCTGGGATGGAGTGAGTAAAAGATATAAACTGGACTGGGCACGGTTGCTCGCACCTGTAATCCCAGCACTTTGGGAGGCCGAAGCGGGCGGATCGCTTGAGCTCAGGAGTTCGAGATTAGTCTAGGCAACATAGTGAGAAGCTATCTTAAAAAAAATTTAAATAAAAGTTATAAACCAAGGCTTGGGGTTTCTGGGTGCTTTGCCAGGACCTGTTCTTGGGCAGAACTGAATATATACTCAATTCTGAGGAGGGAAGAGGAAGGTCATGGCTAAAAGGTAGGCTCTGAAATCAGACTCCCGGAGCTCAAATCCCAGCACTCTCTGCTTGCCACTTAGACTTCAGGTAGGGGAGGGGGATATAAATGTTTGAGCCTCAGTCCCCTCCTCTGTAAAATGGGGGCAGTAAATGTACTGCACACAGCTGCAAGGTGTGAATGAGGCGATGCACGTAAAACACAGTGCCTATAGTATCACATTGGGGTTTTTTGGTGTTTTTTGTTTTTGTTTTTGTTTTTTTGACAGAGGGTCTCACTCTGTCACCCAGGCTGGAGTGCAATGGAGTGATCTCAGCTCACTGCAGCCTTGACCTCCTGGGCTCAACCACTTTTCCCACCTCTGCCTTCAAAGTAGCTGGGACTATAGCCATGTGCTACCACGCCCAGCTAATTTTTGCATTTTTTTGTAGAGATGGGGTTTCACCATATTGCCCAGGCTGGTCTAGAACTCCTGAGCTCGAGTGATCCACCCGCCTCGACCTCCCAAAGTGCTGGGATTACAGACGTGTGCCACCATGCTCAGCCCCACACTCGTCTTTAAGAAAATTAAAATAAAATTGTTTTAAACACAGTGTCTGGCACAGAATAGATGCTCAATAAACACCAGCTGCTACAATTAGAGGGGAAATCATCATAATTGTTGGATTAAAACATAATAAAAGACCCCAGTTGCCTTGTTCAAGGCAGTATTTTCAGAAGCAAAGTTTTAAAAGTTTAAAAAGAGGTCAGTATTTTAAGTCATGTCAGCTCCACAGCCACGGAAGTGCTGGAAAGGCACCAAGCCTCCTCTCGGTTTGCAGTGAAACGCTCCTCTTCCGTCTGAGGGCTATCGTTCCAGCAGAGATCAACACAATGGACTCTGGGATGGACATTGTTCTCCAACAGGCCTGGCCCTGGCCCAGCTGGGGTGAGCATTTCCTTTGCAGCATTCCAAGAGGCGACAGTCCCAAAAGATAATTAAAAATCAGCTAGCGGTGGTGACCAAGAGAAAGGCACTGAGCCCTCCGAGTGTGGAGATAGGGCATCCCGGGTTATTAATTAAGTGTGCTCACATTTGCATGGTGTAGAGGACAATTATCAAGCTGGAGCTGTCAGCTTTAAATGCTGTTTGCATTTCTGGATGACTTTTTGGCGAAGAGGGTCAGGGAGGCTCTCTAAAGTCATTTTTGGGAGTCTGGAGGAATAGTTAGCAATTCGCACTTCACCTCGTTTTACCCTGCAACTCCATGGAAATTCCAGAAAGTCTTGGTTTTAATGGTCTCTTGCATAGGCCCATGACATGGGTCATCTCTCTCCTACCTCCTTCCATGCTGAACAAATGGAAAGGCATGTAACATAGTGTGGCAAGGACTTAGGAGTCCAGAAGCTCCCAGATGTGTGCACCTGTGGAATCCGCCACCACACCCTCCACACACCAGCCTCTGCAACCAGACAGAGAGAGGAGAGGTAAGGGGTGAGGATGTGATTGATTTCCATCCTCGGCCCTCCAAGGAGGAGGCTGCCAAAGAAAACAAAGGCCACTGCAGGGGGGCAGCTCGTGGTGACAACCTGCACTGGGGCCGGAGGGCAGCCAGCATGGCACCTGGATCTGATCAAGATGAAGTTTTCATCCCCATCTGCCTGTTAATGTCTTCTTTACCAGTTGCCACCCCCTAATAAGGGGTATGCCGTAGACTGGAAGTCACTAGGGACCTGCCCAGCATCCTGTTCTAGGCATTGACTAATCCACTCTCCTACATCCTGCCTCCCATCCACATGGTCCAATCAGAGGCTGCCATGCTTGCACAATGTGACACTGTCTCTATGGACACATTAATTGGTCCTGATGTAGAACTTGACCCAAGATCAGGGTCAAGTTGAGAGAAGACTTATTTTCTTTCCAGGTGTTTCAATAACATGTAAAACTTGGAATTCGATAGCAGCCATCTTCTGCCATGAGAATTGGGAAGAGAGAAAGCCTATAGTGATAATAAAGTCAAATTATCCTAAACGCTAATCCCAGTTCTGCTGCTTACTAGCTGTGTGTCTTTAGGCAAATTCCTTAGCCTCTCTGAATTTGATAAGAATATGAATACCTGTCACATGGGGTTGCTGAGAGGCTTAGATGATATGTATCAAAAGCCAAACACCTAGAGGTGATCAATAAATGGAGATCCTCCTTCCCTCTTCCTTCCTTTTCCAAGATCAAGGGCAGCCAGAGTGATACAGTCCTAATCCATTGTTTAAGCATAATTGCAATTAAGCAGGGAGTTTAACTGAGCCCAAATATAGTTCTTGCTAGCTCGTAAAGGATTTATTTTTATCATGTGAACATTTTAATACAATTCCATTGCAGACACTCTATTGAGGAACACAAAGGTGAATACAGTGAGAGTTATACTCTCAAGTAGCTGCATGTGACATACAATAAAGTCTATGAGAGTCAGTAGGGCCCATGCCCAGGATAGTGTGATGGACTCATGCTAACCCTGATGCTTCACTTCACCCATCAGTGAGGACCCCCTTTGGACAGGGTCGGGAAGACCTATCTGTGTTAGCCCAGCTTCTGCTTGAGTGGGTTGTGCTGTTACTAGTGGGCTGCTAGTACAGTTTGTCTATAATCTTCAGAGGAGAAGCCGTGATCCCTCAGCTCCTCTGATGCCCTGAAAGCAAGAGAGGTTACCAGAATGTGCTTGAGAAGAGAGATCATGTAGAGTCACACACACAGAGACAACAGGGCCTTGGGACTGGGGAGGAAGGAGGGTTGGGAGCAGCAGTCAGTGATGCAAGTAACAGTGGGGGCAGGGAAAAAGGTGTCATCTGTAGGTGTCAGCCTACAGATGGGAGAGGCTTGAACTGTGTCTCATCATCAGTGATGACCAGCATATATTTTGCTCCTATCATGGGCTAGGTCTTGCACTGTGTTTTATTTGCATAGTCTTATTTAATTCTCAAAAAATCCCATGGAGCAGACATGATCAATATCTAAACTTACAGATAAGAAAACTAATGTCAGGGAGGTAAAATGACTTGTCCAAGGTCATACTGCTGGTAAGTGGTGGAGTCAGGGCCCGAACCCAGGTCCTTATGATTTCAGAGTCCCTGAGCCACCATTTCTACATGACTTCCAATATTGAAGCCAAACAAAGCCTTTGGAATCAGCCCTTTGCAATTCGATGTGTGGTCCCTAGACTGGCATCACGGGCATCACCTGGGAGCTTGTTAGATATCTAGACCCTCAGGCCCCACCCCAGACCTGCTGAATTAGAATCTGCATTTCACCAAGATCCCCTGCTGTTTTGCATGCACTTGCAAGTTTGAGAGACCCAGCTCCAGATGACAGCATCATTTCTCACCTGTTTTTCTTCTGTTGCTACTATGCCAGGATGTTAATAGGAATTAAAAAGGAAAAAAGGTTAATGGCCAAATGAGTTTAGGAAAAAGTGAGTTAAACAAAGCCAGACTGGCTTCTTTGTTACTGGATTTCTCAGAACCATTAATAAGCTGACATATATATATATGTCATATATATATATCTATATATATCTATATCTATATCTCTCTATATATAGATGTGTTATATATATAGATGTATATCTATCTATATATCTATCTATATATATAGATGTGTTATATATAGATGTGTATATATATCTATATATAGATGTGTTATATATAGATGTGTGTGTGTGTGTGTGTATATATATATACATATATATATATGTATGTGCTAATTGGGGGTGGAGTTTGCAGGATTCCTCACTTATTTGACCTTTGAGACTTCTTTTTTTTTTTTTTTGAGAAGCAGCTTGCAAAACTAGTGTACTAAATAATTCACTTTTGATAATGACTGATTTAAACCAACTGTCTTCTAGCACAGCTGTGTAAATGAGGTCCAGAGAAGTTATCGATTTGTCCAAGGTGGCAGTCAGTGGGTGGCTTTGCCAGGACAGCACGTGAGGCCCTGTGTGCAGTGCTCTTTTCAAGACACTGAGTTTGGAGGCCCAGAACTTTGCCTCCTTCATCTCCTCAGCTTCCTTTCCAGCTGTGAGGAAGTAACCATGCCCTATGATCAAGCCTGACAAAAGGTAGATGGAGTCAAACAGGATAACTTGTGCTGAACTCTTCTCCATAGGTAAAGCCACTGGCCCGAGATCACAAAGCTAACCAGTGGCGAGGCAAAGAGGCAAAGAAGGGACCCCAGATGCATTGGGTTACAGTGCTCAGGGCTCCTCCCTCCCTGGAGATGTAGGTGTTTCCAGCCTCGCAGCCACAGCAGGCAGAACTGGGCCCAGAGATAGTGCTAAGGTTGAGTCCTAAAAAAGGGGCCTGGCCTCTCCTTGGCTGAGCCTTGGAAAGCCTCAACCACCAGGTCACAAAACATAATGACCTGACATAATGGCACAATGAGTCACAACACAGCCCTTGGGAGAAAAAATAGACAGTGAGGTGTCATGAAAGTTTTTCTGGACCATCTGGAAGGGGACAGGGATGGAGTCAGTGCTACCACCTGGCTGGGGCTCTCATGTTAAGGGACTTCTCTGGATCTCAAAGAGACAGCTCCTCCAACTTCTACTAATGGTTGAGCAGTTGGGTAGAGCAAGCCCAATTCCTTGTTGCAAAGCCAGCTCTGCATCTGGGCATCTCAGTGAGAGATCCTGTGAGAATGAGAAAAGCATTAGGGTTGGGATTAGAGTTAGGGTCATGGAGGCAACTCCCTAATCAGCCCCCAAAATGAGTTCATCTCCTCTGGTGCTTCTACCTGTCTCCCTTCTGGACTGTCCTCTAGTTTCCCTTTATTTGGACATCAAGGACTCTTCCATGTCATCCTTTGAACCCAGGCCTCACAGATACAGAGTGAATGGAGATCATTCCACTGGGCCGCCATGATGGAGGGAGCTCCTTTCAAGGAAGTAGGGAAGGAGATGGAGAAAAGGCCTTACCGAATGCCAGCCGCTGTGCTTGGCCCTTTTCTCATATTGTCTCATTTCATTCTCCCAACAGTCCTGTGAGACAAGCATTATTTTTATCCTCATTTTATAGGTTAGGAAACAGAGGGGCACAGAGAGGTTAAGCCATCTGCCTGTAATCACTAAGTGAGTCATCTGAGATGTGAACCCACAGATTTTGGACCCTGACAACCTCTTGGGCAAGAGAACTTTTTAGTCTGGGTAAACAGATCTAGAGAGAGAAAAGAAAGTGGGGACTCGCAACATCCATACTCCTGGAAGGGACAGTCCTACTCTGGCCTGCCCATGTTTGGGCCCCCTTGAACCCACTGCACAGCACAGAGCCAGAGAAGGTGAGGCTAACTTCATCCTGGAGTGATGATGTCTGAAGCCCCAGGTGGAGCCAGTTCTCAGTGTCTTGAAGCTTCTCTGGTGATTCCAAAGCACAGCCAAAGTTGAGAACCAGCTTTCTCACTTTATAGGAACATTGAGCTCAGGGAGGTGAAGCTGTTTTTCTAAGGGTGAGTTACTGGAACACCAAGGTCTTCTAATTGTCCACCAGCCAGAACAGGTTTCAGAAACACCTCTCCCACTTACTAGCTGTGTAACATTGGGCACGTCATTTAACCTCACAATGAAACACTTAAATGTACATGAACTCTTTGGATGGTGTAAGTGGGCAAGAAACATCAGTCTTCTCCCTACCCTTCCCCCACCCCAAATCCAGCCCTCTTTCTGCTACACGGCAGTAGAGGAGAGTGTGAGGAAGGATGGGCTTTAGGATCGGACTATTGCTGAGCTATAAGGACAGGGCAGGTGGTGGGTGCCCTGGGGGTGTTGCCTGCCCACAGGAGTCCTGGGAAAGGGCCTCTGTGTGTTAGGAAAGACCAGTGTATTTCCTACTCTTATGCAATACTCAACACAACACTTCTGATGCCAGATGATGGGGGCTGTTTTCCCACACACAAAGCAAGCGATTCCCCAGCAGACCTGGAGACAGCGTCAGATTCCACAGGTTGAAGGCTCAGCCCCACAAGACTGCCCCCAACTTCAGATGCCAAGCGCAAGTCCTGGTTGTGACCTGTACTTTTGACCAACCGGCTATAAATTGGGGTTCCCATGGCCCTCTCCTTGGGTTCAATTAATTTGCTAGAGGAGCTCACAGAATTTCAGGGAAACACTTTATTTATGTTTACCAGTTTATTATAAAGGATTGTTACAAAAGATGCAGATGACTGCCTGGGGGAAGAGATGCACATGCATGTGGGAAGGGGCACGGAGCTTCCACACCCTCCCCAGCGTGTCACCCTCCAGGGACCCGTCCAGCTATCTAAAAGCTCTCCAAGCTGAGCCATTTTTGGTGTTTATGGAGACTTCATTACGTAGACATGATTGATTAAATCATTGGCCATTGGTGATCTGCTCAACCTTCAGCCCTTGTCCCCTTGTTGAGGTTAGGGGATGGGGCTGAAAGTCCCAACCCTCTAACCACATGGGTGGTTTCCCTGGCAACCCGTCCCCATCCCGAGCCTATCCAGGAACCCACCTCGTTCTAACGAGCCATCTCGTTAGAACAGAAGATGCTATCACCCAGGAAATTCCAAGGGATTTAGGAGCTCTGTGTCAGACATTTCTATCATCCAGGAAATTATAGAGGTCTTAGGAGCTCTGCGTCAGGAACTGGAGTCAAATACCAAATAACAGAACAAAAAAGTTTCCTAGCACCCCTATCTACCAGGGTTTTAAGAATCAGAAATCAGGGGCTGAAACCAAATCCATGTTACTTTTTTCTTTTCTTTTCTTCTTTCCTTTTCTTTTCTTTTCTTTTTTGAGACAAAGTCTCATTCATGTTGCCCAGGCTGGAGTGCAATGGCGCGATCTCGGCTCACTGCAACCTTTGCCTCCCAAGTTCAAGCGATTCTCCTGCCTCAGCCTCCTGAGTAGGTGGGATTACAGGTGTGTGCCACCATGCCCAGCTAATTTTTGTATTTTCAGTAGAGACAGGGTTTCCTCATGTCGGCCAGGCTGGTCTCGAACTCCTGACCTCAGGCGATCTACCCGCCTTGGCCTCCCAAAGTGCTGGGATTACAGGCGTGAGCCACCGTGCCCGGCCTCATGTTTCTTATTATACCACAACATCACAGGACTCACGTTTGTCATCTCGGATGCCACACCAAGCATAGGTGAGAAGTGATGGGAGACAGGAGGGCAGGGGGAGCACAGGATGAGGTCGCTGCCACTGAGCTGGAGAGGGAGCCCAGGGCTGGGCGACTCCATCCTATCCTGAAATGCAGGTAGCCACCAGGTGGACAAGGTGCTTTGTTTTAAAGAGCCCTTGCAAGGTGCTCTCCATCTCCAGAGAGCTGAAAGGCAAATTAAAACTCATGCTTCCCTCCTGCATATGTCTTCACTACATAAATAAATGATTGGCTAAAACCTAGTCTAAATATCCAAAACTATTACCCGTGTTTCTTTTCAGTACGGTGGAATTACAGGGGCTTTCACTTTCTGCGTTATCTATCACTTTGATATTTAGCTTTTTCATAGGAACCATTGTACTGCTTTTGTCATAAAAAGCAATGCTTTTTTTTTTTTTTTTTTTGAGATGGAGTCTCACTCTGTTGCCCAGGCTGGAGTGCAGTGGCACAATCTTGGCTCACTGCAACCTCTACCTCCCGGGTTCACACCATTCTCCTGCCTCAGCCTCCCGAGTAGCTGGGACTACAGGCACCTGCCACCACGCCCGGCTAATTTTTTGTATTTTTAGTAGAGACGGGGTTTCACCATGTTAGCCAGGATGGTCTCGATCTCCTGACCTCATGATCCGCCTGCCTCAGCCTCCCAAAGTGCTGGGATTACAGGCATGAGCCACCGCGCCTGGCCCTAAAAGTAATGCATTTTTAAATGCTGGTATAAATATTTGCAGAATGCCAGTTGCCTATGCTTTTCAATGGACTTTCAAGGAAAATCTGTCATTTGGAGAAAGATTTTCAAATCATTGCAACCTCGGCACGATTCAGTGCCCTCTTCCTTATCTTTTCTGTTTTCAGAGCAGCTTCCTTAGCACTGGGGCTACCCTTCACTTTCCCAACTGGAAGGGTTTTTGACCTGATCAGCTCCTCTGTCCCTGCTATTGCCTGGGCACCTAAAGCACCTCCTGCCTTTCTCTCCACCTCCCCACCCCCCACGCCCAGGTGCTCTGGCAGGCATGTCACATCAGAGGCTCACATGTTTCTCCACCTTTCCCCAGTACAGAGAAGACATCTGCCTCCAGTTCGTAGGATGAATTACTCCCTTAATTAATTACTCCCTTAATCGATGATAACTTCCAGTGCAGGAGAGGGTGGAGGCTCTAAAACATGATTGTGCTAGAGAAACCTCATTGTTTTGTACCAGAAAGTGGTCACAACCCTGGCTGCCTCATATGTGATGTTGTGGAGACAGTAACAAGGAACACTTCAAAAAGAGAAACTTTCTGAAAATAAACCAAAAGTGGCCTATGTGCACAGGTACAAGTCCATGAGGCAGCCTCTCAGCTCTTTCATATTGTTTGTCCCAACACCGCTACTTTGCCCAGCCTGACGCACATAGGCATGGAGATGCTGAGCGTCAACACGGTGGAGTCATATCACGTGATCACAGATCCCAGCTTAGGTGCAGTCATTCGAGCCACTGAGCCTGCTGTTCTGTTTAGTGAACATATGCCCCAGGAGCCAGAAGCCAGCCATCTGCCTGAGTCAGCCCTGGCCCCAATATGTGTGAATATGAGTCTAGTGCTTAGTGATACACACTTCCACACAACATGGTCCCTAAATGTAAGACAATCACTCCATTGCATGTGCACCCAAAATCACAGCATCTGTTCCCAAGCTGATGGAAACGCCAATTTGTCAGAGTCTTCAACATGGTACCTTCTGAAGGAAGAGTCAAGGGTGAGTCTGATCATACGTGATCTTTCCTTGTTTGCTGAATTTAGAGAGTAACTCTGCTTAAAATGTTACTCCCTATATGTGTAGGTTGCAGACACCCCTGGATTCTTTGGGGGCAGTTCCCCAGGTCCTGCTACATTTGCTGTTGACATTCCCTTATTTTCTTTCCATCCAGCTCCAGACCCTTGTCCCCAGGTTTTGACCCCACCCAGACCTTTGCCTGGGACGGAAAGCTGCTTCATTTCAGGAGACACCTGAAGTACCTGGGTTGGTTCAGAGACTACCAGAAGTTTTTGGACTTCTTCTAGTCCTTTAATGGCCAAAAGGACTCAAGGGCCTGGCATGTAATGGAAAAGGCATCACCTCTCTCATGGAACGCAGCTGGAAGGACCAACCCCTTCATAGTTACAGGAATCTGAGCTATGAAGACACTAGCCAGGCAACAAGGCCCTGGGCTCAGACACAGATGAAGTTTCTCTGGAAGAGAAATCTGGCCTGTTACAGACCTGGGAAGTGCCAAGGCTTAGCTCCTGAGAAGGATTGCTGGTGCTGACAGCTGGGAGTCAGGACTCCAGGGCCACTTGTATGGAAGCTGGTGCCCGTGGTGCAGGAGGATGGGGGCTCTGGATTCTGCACCACCCCCCATAGACTGGCCCCTCAGAGGGCTCCTGTGGTGTCAGAGCCCTCTCACAAGCGCCTGCCGTGGTTATCAGCTGAAGCTGAGTGCTTGTGGAGTGTGGACAGAGGGCAGAGGGAGAGAAGCAGCCATGGGCTTCCTGCCAGGAAGCTCAGCAGCTCCGAGGAGACTGGAGAGTCATGGGACACAGTGCGTCCTCCCCAGAACAGCCTCCAGCCTGCCAGTTCAGAGCACACGCTTGGAGGCAGGAAGGCTGAGGTCCAACCCCATTCCTGCTATGGGCCAGCTGAGAGCTGTGGACAAGTCATTCGGCTTCTCTGAGCCGCAGTCTTCTCACCTGTAAAGCGGGGGTAATAATACCCTCCTCACAAGGTTGTTGCAAGGCTTTGTGGGGAAAAATACAAAGTGCACAGAGTTGTTCAGTAAGGCGTGGGCCTGCGGGGAAAGGCGGGGCCATGAGCTGGCCAGGGGAGGAAAGGACAGATGGGGACTCCAGATAATGAAAGCATCTTTGCATCCTCAATGATATAATCTGGGTTTGTTGTTGTTGTTGTTGTTTGAGACAGAGTCTCGCTCTGTCCCCCAGGCTGGAGTGCAGTGGTGCAATTTCAGCTCACTGCAACCTGTACTTCCCGGGTTCAAGTGATTCTCCTGCCTCAGCTTCCTGAGTAGCTGGGATTACAGGTGCCCGCCACCATGCCTGGCTAATTTTTCTGTTTTTAATAGAGACAGGGTTTCGCCATGTTGGCCAGGATGGCCTCGAGCTCCTGACCTCAGCTGATCCACCCTCCTCAGCCTCCCAAAGTGCTGCGATTACAGGCATGAGCCACCGCGCCCGGCCCATCTGGAGTTTTTTTGTTTGTTTGTTCCTCATAAAGGCTACGAGGAGAGGAAGGGGCCTAGAACACAGGATGGTGGAAGAGGGGCTCATGGGTGGAGGGGAGGAGAGCAGATGAGCAGGGACCCTCCCCCTTCCTCGGCAACCATGGGGTTTGCCACACATATATTTTTGATGTCCCATGTATCAGGTGGAGATGTCAACTTCTATGAACTGAAATAAACTGTTTCCCTATGTGTAAAATGAAGGGCACTTCAAGTCTGTCCAAGTACAACCAGGTGTCTCTAGATACCCCGAGCCTGAGAAATCACCCGTGTAGATGCACACAGGCATACACTCACACATATGCACAATCACATACACTCACATTTTGTTACCTGGGTTCAAATTAGACTAGCTGATAGTTGAGGATAGCCATGGGTTCCAAGCTTAGGCACATCTTTGCTGTGGCTGTTAGGCCTCACCCAGGTTGAGAGAAGGACTAAGACCCAGGTCTACTTGCTTGTCTGGTCTCTCTATATTATCCTAGTAGCAAGTTAGAGAATTGCGCCAGGGAGAATGCAGCAGAAAAGAGGAGGATATGGAATCATCCTAGGGCAAGCCAGGAGGCAGGGGTACAAGGGCCTTAGCTTTCCTGTACCCCCAGATACAGCCCAGAGTGAATAAAAAGCTGAACTCAGCCCAGGAAGGTCCTGGAAGACCTGCCAGTGCCTGAGTCACACAGTGATGCCTGGGCTGAAACCAGGGGGAGTCAGGGAGTAACATTTACAGGGTCTTCTCCCCATGGCTCTCTCAACCCAGGACCAAGCATGGTGGCTTCCTGAGAGTAGCAACACTGAATCATTGAGTTATTTATTCATTCACCCCACAACCACTTCTGATACAGACCTACACCCTGCTTTGGGGGAGCTCAAAGCTTATTTCCTGCTCCACACCCCCCACCCCCAATGCTTCCTGCGCCACTGACTTCCCAACAGGATAAAGGAAGCCTTCTCCTGGAATCTGAGTGTAATGTGGGCTGGATTCAGGTTAGCCAAATCCAGGGGAAGGCAGGGTTTGAAGCCTCTGGGTTTGGCATGTCCTGGCAAGCAGCGGAGTAAAGAAGATTCTCCTTTACCCTGTGCCCCGGTGCCTCATCTCCACTCTGTGCCTTCTCAAGCTGGTGGCAGGCTGAACCAAATGCCCCCACGTTGGTAAGTGTCACCCACACCCCCTAGCCACCATACCACAGGTCAGCTCCTGACAAACGTGCAGGTGTTAACCAACAGACACGCCACGAGGACACAGAGGGAGGCGACAGATTCTGGCCTGGGGATTCGAGGAAAGCTTCACAAAGGAGGAAGAGATGAACCAGGCCTGAGAGCTGGTTAGAATGTTGACAGAAGACTGAGGGAACATTGTCAGCAAAAGCTCAGAAGCAAGAACAAATGAAGGGGGAAGACAGGTCGCTATGTACCTCAAGTGACTCACCAACTCGGAACAAAACACTTCCCTTTACACGGTTGAAGGGACATGAGCTTTGGAATCCAAAAGATCTGGCCACTTACTAAACATGTGGCCTTAAGTAAATCACTTAACCCCTCTCTACTTCAATTTTCTTATCTGTGAAGTGAAAATATTTCTACCAATTGTACCCATCTCACAGGGCTGTCTGAACCGCAAATATATCATCACAAAAGCAACTAGCTAGTGGTTGCTTAGCATGTGGGAGACACTCGGGAAGTACTGGGTGTCTCCTTCTCTTCCTTCCTTCCTTCTTTGGGCCTCCATTTCCTCTTCCTTGAAATGACAGGAAGCTACTCTGCCCCCACCCCAATGCCATTTTGCTCTGGAGACCAGTGGATGACTGAGACATTCCAAATTCCTCAGATGCAAACAGCAGAAAGAAAAACAGACTGTGGACTAAGTTGGTATCAAATGTACACGTGATTTTCCCAAGACAAGGTGCCTTTAGGCTCTGTGCAAGAGTGAAGCTTCAGTGGAGAGCCAGGGATAGAGCTGAAGCTAACAGGGAGAGGAGAGAAGGGAGAGAAGAGAGGGCTAAGTTTTTTTTCATTTGCAGAGCTCACAGCTCAGCCAAATAACATCTTTAAATACTATTGACATGACAAAGCCAAAGTTCTTGGCTTAGGCTGCGATTTTTTCTGTTCTTTTTTTAAATCCAGATTTGAAGAATGTACCTTCTTTAGAACTATGTCTGCCAGTCCAGTCATTTCTGCCCATGACGGTCCAGCTCAGAGCTGAATCAGGTTTGCCAAGGTCAAGGAACAAGTTCCCTGGCTCCAGCAATGCACACTTAGGGAAAAGAAATTGGGTGCTACAGAAAGCCAGGCATGGACGATTCCTCCTCATGGAAAATGAGCCTCCTCAATGTCGCTTTCTGTCACTCTCTTAAACTCCTATTCCCCTTCACACTCTTGCGTATGTATACTTGCATGTGTGCACGTGTGTGTATGTGTTTACAGGTACAGCGCGTGCCTGGCTGCTGTGTGTCTGCTGTAGGTCTTGCTTTCTTAATAGGGTAGGATTTCCACATCCTTCTGCAGCTAGGACTGCAAGAATAAAGTGCAATGGAGAAAGTAGGTAATTATTCCTTTTCTTCGGGTTTTAAACTACTTCCACCTAAAATAAGGTAATTGAGGTTGGAGTGGGTGGTCCATCCTGCTCGAACTACCCATATGATTACTTCACTTTTCCCATTCACTTTGCGTGCATAAGACATGGCATCCATATCATCCAGGTCAAAGAACATATACATTAAGTAAGCCACATAAATAGAGATAGAGGTCACCAGCCCAGTCTCTCCACAGGTGGCACATTGAGTCATGTAACCAACAAGTATTTTTTTCAATCAGCAAATATTTATGGTGCCAGACACTGTGCTAGATGTTGGGGACACAATGATGACTAAAGCGAACATAGCCCTTGCCCAGATGGAGCATATATTTTAGTAAGGAAAAAAGAAAAAAATAAGTAAATGAACAAGTGCAATGGTTAGAAATTATAATGAAGATCAGAATGAGTCACAATTTTTCTATGCTTATTGTACGTAATTTTTGGTAATAGCCCACAAAAATAATTTACACCTGTGAGTGAAGTTTGATCATCTGCAATTGTCCCCTCTCCCAGCTACCTGGTTCCTTGTCTAATTGCTGCCACAAGCCCTTTCTCAGGTCAAGGGCTGTCCTCAAGACTTTATTAAATAAACAGGTGTAAGGTGGGTGCAGCGGCTCACACCTGTAATCCCAGCACTTTGGGAGGTCAAGGCGGGTGGGTCGCTCCAGGTCAGGACTTCAAGAGCAGCCTGGCCAACATGGTGAAATGTCATCTTTACTAAAAATACAAAAAAAAAAAAAAATTAGCCAGGCATGGTGGCACATGCCTGTAGTCCCAGCTACTCGGGAGGCTGAGGCAGGAGAATCGCTTGAACCCAGGAGGCGGAGGTTGCAGTGAGCTAGATCAGGTGTGCAGGGAAAACCATCGACTCCAGCAGGAGAAGCCCCGAGCCTATGACGTCTAATAGCTGAGTGACCCCGAGCAAGTCATTTTTCTCATCTGTGAAATTAGCATCCTACCTACCCTACCAAACCAGAGGGTCCCCGTGGGAACCAAGGAAAACCAAAGCAGAAATTCTCTGAAAAAACTAACACTCCAAATGAAGGAGGTGCTGTTGATAAAGTTTCTCCAGAAAGAAGTCTAGCAAGTCTGAGAGGGAAGAGGACATCCTCCCCAAATGAATGGGAGAGGAGAAGAGGAGGAGAAGTGGGAAGAGAGGAGCAGGAGGAAATGGGGAGGAAAGAGGAGGGGAAAAGAGGGGAGGGGCAGGAAAGGGAGGGAAGCGGGAGGAGAGGAGAGTAGTAGTAGGGGGAAGAGAAGAGGGGAGGAGAGGGCAGGGGAGAGGAAGAGAGGAGAAGGAAAAGCTGGAATGGTAAACTTTTCCTGACTTGGCAGCCAAGATGAGAGAATGAAACGGTGCAGGAAGAGGTATCCTGTTGGAGAAGCTACATAGTGCTCTATAATAAGCGCTGTTCACTGCCTCCAGAGGTTGTACAGGTGGAAAATACCAGTGAGTTCCAAAGAGGTTTAGCTAATTCCCACTGGACCAGGCCAGCCAGGTGGAGACAGCTGGCCCAGGGGATCCTACCTGGCCTTTCTGTGGCACTGGAGGTTGTCACACTTGGCAAAGATGGCTTTTTGAAGAGGTAAAAGAAGGAAAGAGTTGGCAACTAGGCAGGTATTTTGACCACCAAGGACTTTTCAAACTGGACAAATCTTTGAGTGACTTTTCTTTTCATTTAAATAATTACAGCAACAGCAACAGCCACTATAATTTAAGCGCTTGCTGCATGCCAAACATTGTGGTTAGGGTTTCACTGCCTTTGTTATATTTAACCCCCACAGCAGCCCTATGAGATAGCGTCATCCTCCGTACACATAAGGAAACCGAGGCACTGAGAAGTTAAGGAACTCCCTAATCTGTGGGGAGCTGGGGTTTTATACGTCCACCTCTAAAGCTCATCTTTCTACCACAATGTTAAAGACAGACCAGTAGAGGGAAGACAACAATCTCCCCTTTGTTCTCAATCCCAGATTGGGCTGGCCTGGGAAATGCCACAGGTGATTCTTTTTAAAGGAAGGAGCCAGAACCACACAACTTCTGAGAGTCAAAGAGATTGATCTAGCTTGTACGTGCGTCCCCGCCCAATGTCATGGTGAACTGTGATCCCCAGTATCGGAGGTGGGGCCTGGTGGAAGGTGGTTGGATCATGGGGCGGGGTTTCTCATGAACGGTTTCGCACCATCCCCTTGCTGCTGTCCTCGCACCAGAGTGAGTTCTCTAGAGATGGGGCTGTTTAAAAGTGTACAGTGCCTCCCTCTCTCTCTCTTGCTCCTGCTCTGGCCATGTGATGTGCCGACTCCCCCTTTGCCTGCCACCATGATTGTAAGCTTCTGGAAGCCAAGCCGATGCCAGCACCATGCTTCCTGTAAAGCTTGCAGAACCATGAACCGATTAAACCTCTTTTCTTTATAAATAACCCAGTCTCAGGTATTCTTTTATAACAATATGAAAACAGCCTAACACAGAGACTATTGACCAACCTCTTTCTTTGGATGAAAAACGCAAAGTCTCTATAAAGGCTCAAAGCCACATAACTGAGTAGTGATGGCATCAAAGCAAAGAAAAAAGGAAGAATAAATGGATTAATGTTTTTTCAAACTGTGGGTGCTACCCAGCAGTGGGTCATTGAATTCACTTAGTGGATCATAACAAGGAGTTTACAAAAAAAAAAAAAAAGAAAGAAATAGAATAGAAAAGAGAGTGCATTGCACATCGTTCTAGCCAGTCATGGTTGATGGCACTTCTCAGTGTGTGTGCTTCTATGTGTGGACAAAGTAGGAACGGAAAATGACCATGGGCCATACATAGTCAAAAACCTCTGAACACCACTAGACTGAGGAGTAAGCATAGCGGAGGAAGAGGCCGTGGGATGGACAGGAAGTTTGAGCAAAATCCAAGATTTGCTCCTGCACTGCTAGCAAAACAGCTCTGAAATAACCACAGGGCCTATTTTTAGTGCTGCTGAAATTACCTTTCCTTTGATCTCCGGTATTGACCAGAATGGCTCCTCAACAACACACGCAGCTCCTTGGGGCTGACAGAGGCCCAGGAAAGCCGTCACGCAGGAAGGAGGCCAGGGCGGGCTTTTCTATAAACCCCACGGCTGTTTCCCTTTACTGACTTCCTTAGCCTGTCGGGGGATTAGAGCAGGATCCTCTGAAACAGGGAACAGCATCCTTCACAACAGGATGTAGCAGGGACCACACACTGCTCTGAGTCAGGCCGCCAGTGCTGAGCAAGGGCTGGTGGCCTCTGAGCCCCACTTAGTCACTGGCAGACAACCTAACCCTGCCAGGAGCAGGAGGAGACATAGCTGAGGGCCCAAAGGGGTCATGGAGGAAGACCCTGGGAACAGGCCCTCTACAGCCTCAGGGTCCCAGTTCCTGCACCTGGGGCCCACCCAGCACACGAATCTTGAGTGGGAAATAGAGGGTGTCTCAAGGATTCTGCTCATGTAAGAAGGCATGCTTGGGCTAGTGTGCATATGTGCATGTGTGTGTGTGTGTGTGTGACAGAGAGAGACAGAGAGAGAGTGTGGCGAGAGTAAGTAGGTGCAGAAGAAACTAGAACCATCAACGAACATATGAGAAAACACCAGGAACCTTGTGCCTGGACCACAGTAGGGGTTGGTAGGGTCCCTGCTGCAAGCAGAAGTGCAAACCTCCATCTTTAATATGTGTGGGAATCAGTATGCATGTAGGTATATGGGTTGGGGAGTAGAGTGAGGATAAAACTGTTTATAGTGACCCAAGAAAACTTTTAGCCCTGATGACAGATTGTAGCTAAGGAATCCACCAAATGAGAATAGAGAAACTGACATTTTGGCTAAGTTACGCAAAAGTAATGGTATACTCACTCACGTTCAGGGACTATTCATCGTTTAGGTCTAATTTCTATATAGCTCCATGATTGTGCTTGTCATTGAACCCTATGTGGGATTAACTTTACTGTAGATTTTGTTGCTGTTGTTGTTGTTTTGAGGTAGGGTGTCCCTCTGTCACCTCGGCTTCAGTGGCACAATCACGGCTCACTGCAGCCTCCACCTCCTGGGCTCAAGCGATCCTCCTGCCTCAGCCTTCCAAAGTGCTGAGATTACAGGCATGAGTCACTGAGCCTGGCCCATTGTAGGTTTTATTTGTTGCTTTAAGCTCTGCTCATACATCAGCCTTCAGTGAGTGTCGTTCCTAATATAGGGCTGTTGTGCTTATAACTTAAAACAGCCCTGAGGGAATGTGGCAGATCCTCAGAACCAGTTCCAATTACTGTCCAGAAAACAGCCTTCTTGAGAAAGAAGTGGCTGCTCAGAGATGTGGTCAGCAGAGGGGAAGGCAAGTGCCCAGGTGTCCTGGCTCTCAATCCCTAACCTGCAAGGGAATGGGCGGGGCTGTTTCTATTCCCCCTCTGCACCCCAGATTCTGGTGGGAAGGACTAAGAGAGATATTCCTGGGAGAAAGACTCACGGAAGCTCTGAAGCATGACCAAGGGCTACTCTGCAGCTGAAGACACACAAGGAGCCCTCTTGAAAGGCCACGGTGTCCAGTGAGTGAGACACACTTGGGTTCTAATCCTAGGTCTTCTCCTTAAAGACTGTGTAGCCCTAGCAAGTCACTTAACCTTCTGAACTTTATTTGTATCATCTCTTTTTAAAAAGATAATAATACTTGCCTACTAGATTGTGAGGATTAAATGAGAACAGTGAGCAAAACTCTTGGCTCAGGGCTGACAGAGTAAACTCAACACTGGTGCTTACCTGCTTGGAAAGTTGCTCATTAATTTGGTGTTGGCCTTTAGGGCAGGGAGTCTTGACCTCTTGTTCCCTTGGGTTCTGATGTTTGGGGTGGTCTCCTGGCAGCCAGTGGTCCCAACTCAGTGAGGTCTGAGACTTTCCTTCCTTTCAGCATGGCCTGCGGGGAGCTCTCAGGCCCCAGCAGACAGAGACTTTCTGCCATGGCTCCAAAGCAATTGTGGCTTGGAAAGAATCTTTGGCATGTGTCATGTCGTCCCCCACAAGCCATGATCCATAGCGTGTTGGAGAAGTGCTTTGTTCTGGGGCCAAGAGGTCATGCTGTAGGAGGGTCACCCATAAGTCTACATGCTAGGCAGCTCCCCAGTCATGTCCCTCGCTCCTCTGCTCCCTGTCCTTGGCGCCATCTGCTCTGGATCACAGGTCCAGCCCAGGAGACTGGACAGCTGCCCTCCTGCTGGAGGCCTGGGCTTGTGCCTGAGCTCAGAGAGGGCTGTCAATGATTGGTGGCTATGGGGCAAGACCAAGTCCTTGGTCCGTGGAGAGATTTGTGCACTTAGGGGACCAGGAGGGACCGGAGCTGGTATGGGAAAAGAGTTGTGGTGAGAACACCTGAGGAACCAGATTCTCTCAGCTCCATCACTCAATTGTGTTGGGACCCTGAGCAAGTCATGTTCCTTCTCAGGCCCTGGTTTCTTCATTGTTAAAATGAAGAGGTTGGATCAAACAATCATTAAAGTCCCTTTTAGCTTTATTATTTTTAGGCTACAAATTCCTGGCTTTCTTTTTTTTTTTTTTAATCCAAGACGGAGTCTTGCTCTGTCGCCCAGACTGGAGTGCAGTGGCGCGATCTCGGCTCACTGCAACCTCCACCTCCAGGGTTCAAGCAATTCTCTTGTCCCAGCCTCTCGAGTAGCTGGGATTACAGGCGCATGCCACCACGCCCTGCTAATTTTTGTATTTTTAGTAGCGACAGGGTTTCACCATGTTACCCAGGCTGGTCTCGAACTCCTGACCTCGTGATCCACCTACTTTGGCCTCCCAAAGTTCTGAGACTAGAGGCATGAGCCACTGCACCTGGCCAGTTGCTGGCTTTCTTACAAGGCTCATAGTTCTGTAAATAGGAGCACAGTTTAGCACGTTTCAGTGGATGGGATGGGGCACCGGCTGGAAGAGGGTCCTCTTGGCCACCACGGTGTGGCAGCAGAAATGGAGTGTGGCATGTGTAGGTAGTGAACCCCTGAACCCCTGATCAATGCAAGGTTTGATTTCCCTAGTCAGAAGGCTCCTCTAGGTACAAGGTCATTTTCTTTATTTTTCTGTAATTGGTCTCATTTTTCATTTCAAGCTCTTATTTTGGCTGATGCAGAAAAACTAGTATAGTTACTTCCAAGTAAAACAGTCCCTTAAGTCATTTTCTCAATCATTTTAGTATTCAATTCTATTAAATTTAAGATTTTCATTCTTACTCACTCCCCAGAGTTGATGCCAAGGGCGGGATCTGGAGCATCCATGGAAAAGGGAGGCTATGTCTCTGCTCAATCTGCCCCGAGTTCTTTTTTTGAGATGTAGCATGTTTCTGTCTGGTCCTTAAACACGTCCCTTTTCCAAGCCATTACAGGGGCTGCCCTTGTTCAATCCTGGCAGATGCTCCCTTTGGCAGCGTCCTCTCTGCTCCATGCCCCCATTCCTGCTGAAAGCCCCTTTGCAGGCTGGCAGCTTCCTGGAGGTTACTCTCTGTGCTCACTTCCACCCCCTGGAAGAGCCATGTAAACCTGGATGTTTGGGGTGAGAAGGAGGGCTAGGGGTAGGATGGGGGTCAGGGGTTCTCTGCCTAGACATGCCACATTCTACTTCTGCTCTGCAGCTTCCACACCATGGTGCCAGAGGACCCTCTGAGGCTCAGCACCACTCGAGGCTTTCCCAGGGAAGTGACACATGGTCCTCACCTCCCTGAACCCCGTCCTTGTAGGAGTGTCCTGTCATCTCCTCCACGCCAAGACCCAAAAGGAAACAGGTCTCAGGCCTCCCAAGATGCATCTAGCTCCCTAAACTCTCTTGCTCCTCTCCAGCTTAGAGGGTATTGATCTGGGGTGGGGCAGGGGACAGGGAGAACTATTAAATAAAGATTTTACATATCATATCTTTTCAAAATAATTTCAACTTTCGGCCAGGCACGGTGGCTCACACCTGTAATCCCAGCACTTTGGGAGGCCGAGGCGGGTGGATCACCTGAGTTCAGGAGTTCGAGACCAGCCTGACAACATGGTAAAACCCCATCTCTACTTAAAAAAAAATACAAAATTAGCCAGGCGTGGTGGCGCATGCCTGTAATCCCAGCTACTCGGGAGGCTGAGGCAGGAGAATCGCTTGAACCCGGGAGGCGGAGGTTGCAGTGAGCCAAGATCGCTCCATTGTACTGCAGCCCGGGCAACAAGAGCGAAACTCCATCTCAAACAAACAAACAAAACAAACAAACAAACAAACAAACAAATTC
Organism: Homo sapiens; assembly: GCF_000001405.40. Lineage (NCBI taxonomy): Eukaryota > Metazoa > Chordata > Mammalia > Primates > Hominidae > Homo > Homo sapiens. The sequence goes on from NC_000002.12 coordinate 30,370,629, forward strand.
AACTTTTATTTTAGATTCAGACTCCATGTGTAGGTTTGTTACATGGGTTTATTGTATGATGCTGAGGTTAGGGGTACAAATGATCTGTCACCCAGGTAGTGAGCACAGTACCCACTAGGTACCCATCACTCCTGTCTCACACCTGCATTGAGGCCTTGGGCCTCAAAAGTCAAGTATTTGGTATCTTTGTTATGTGGTTCCTTTGAGACTACTACCCTTTTTTGCCTGACTGGGAAAAAAAAAAATCACACATCTGTTAACACTTCCAATATCAAAGACTCTGGAAAGTGCTAGTCAAGGGTCAGAGCTAGTCCTAGGTTCTGAAATGCCTTTGACAATAATATGGAATTGCTAGTGTCCAAAAAAAAAAAAACAAACCTCACAAAATCAAATAATCCAAAGGCTCTATAGTAAGTACAAAGCACAAATCCTTCACCTGGACTTGAAGGTCTTCTTCTTCATGGCCCATCCCAACTTTCTTTAGAAACTTCTCAGTTTCTGATAGTTGGAGCACAGAGGGCAACAGGGTGAAAAAAAATGAGGCTGGGGAGGCAATAGAGTACCAGCAATAGGTGGGAGAGTACATTTGGTTTGATGTAGTCAACTGGTTGGTACTCACTTCTTCAATCCTTTCCTGTCTCGAATCCTGAGAGGAGGGTTGGACTTTTTTCATGCCTTCTATAGCATCTGATATGGTTTTCCTGTGTCCCCACCCAAATCTCATCTGGAATTATAGCTCCCATAATTCCCACATGTTGTGGGAGGGACCTAGTGGGAGATCATTGACTCATGGGGGTGGTTTTCCCCATATTGTTCCCTGATAGTGAATAAGTCTCATGAGATCTGATGGTTTTATAAGGGGAAACCCCTTTCATTTGGTACTCATTCTCTCTTCCCTGCCACCAAGGAAGATGTGCCTTTTGCCTTCCACTGTGATTGTGAGGCTTCCCCAGCCACGTGAAACTGTGAGTCCACTAAACCTCTTTTTCTTTATAAATTACCCAGTTTTGGGTATGTCTTTATCAGCAGTGTGAAAACAGACTAATACAGTATCTAGCTTGGGGCTTTGCATAAAGTAAGCACTCAATTAATTCTTGTGTAGTAGTTGACCAAAGATAGGCGTTAATAAAGGTTTAGGAACCTGGTTCTATGTAGAGATACTTTGAAAATTAAAGCATGCACTTCCAACCACGTGATCTCTAAGTTTATGGCTCTGCAGTTGCTATTTTATAGCTAAAACAAAATACTCATTAAAAACTAATAGGAATGTGTAAAATCAGCACGGGCAAACCTCAACTGGCAGGCAGGAAAATCTGGCTCCTCGAAGCCTGCCTGGGTCCATGGTCCAAACATGCTTTGGGTGGAGATCCAGAGGTGAAAAGTCATTTGCTTCTGGGAACAAGAAACTGAATCAAACCCAAAGTAGCAAGTTTGAGCTCTCAAGGGCAAAATGACATTGCATGCCTCAAATGGCTGTGGGTTGCCAGCTTAAATTATTGCACAAACACATTCACGCAATGGGAGTTGAGAGAGGCAGCCAGTCCTAGCTGGAGTAATTCGGGGAAAGGTGTAGGATGTGAGGCTTGAGCTTGGTTGGGCCACAGCCACGTCAGGGGAAACCAGGGCTTCCCAGAACCCATCCTGTCTGCTCTTCAGATGCCCAATGGCCTCCTGACTCTCCTTCCTTCCAGCCACTCTCTCTCCCACTTCCCCCTGCCTGTGCCCACCACTTAGCTGGCTGCACCTTCTCAACACACTTTCTGTCACCTCCTTACACACACATGGGCCATCTCTAAGCTGAACACTCTCTTCTGTACTAAACAGCTTTGTCAATTCATTTCTCAGCAATTTTTTCTTTTTTTTTTTTTTTGAGATGGAGTCTCACTCTGTCGCCCAGACTGGAGTGGAGTGGTAAGATCTCAGCTCAGTGCAACCTCCACCTCCTGGGATCAAGCGATTCTTCTGCCTCAGCTGTAGCTGGGGTTACAGGCACCCGCCACCATGCCCAGCTAATTTTTGTATTTTTAGTAGAGACAGGGTTTCACCATGTTGGCCAGGATGGTCTCAATCTCTTGACCTCGTGATCTGCCTGACTTGGCCTCCCAAAGTGCTGGGATTACAGGTGTGAGCCACCATACCCAGCTTCTCAGCAATTTAGAAATGCTAACTGAAAATCTTGTTTTCTGATTAAACACCATCCTTAGATATTTTCTCCTTTTACCCCACATCTCTCCAGATCCTTCTCCTGACCCCATCCCATCCATCCTTCCATTGTTTTATTTGGGAGTTGAATGAGTTTTCTAGAAACATGCCATAGAAAGAAATTCCTCAGAGGCAATGCAATAAATTATCTGAGTTATGCATGAGTGATGGAGCCTTTTGGTTGGAGACATAAAGAATGCTGATCATGGAAAAACAAAATTCAAGAGGCCAAATTTTACAGGGAGCAATTAGTATTAAATGAGAACATGTCACAGGCACTGGGGCATTGGAAACTGGCTGCCCCAGCCTCCTTTTTGTAAGCTGAGTTTACTAAATGGAACATAATGATATGTAACCAAAATGCTGAAAGACCATTTCTTTGCTAAGGAGATCCAGCCAACAAACACAGTGGAAAATAGGAAAATAGCAGTGATACTTTTCACCCTGGGAATTTTTTTTTTTTTTTTTTTTTTTTAGATAGAGTCTTGCTCTGTCGCCCAGGCTGGAGTGCAGTGGCGCGATCTCGGCTCACTGCAGCCTCCGCCTCCCGGGTTTAAGCGATTCTCTTGCCTTAGCCTTCCAAGTAGCTAGGATTACAGGCACCCACCAGCAAGCCTGGCTAATTTTTGTATTTTTAGTAGAGACAGGGTTTCACCATATTGGCCAGGTTGGTCTTGAACTCCTGACCTCAGGTGATCCACCCACCTTGGCCTCCCAAAGCGCTAGGATTACAGGTGTGAGCTACTGCACACGGCCTTTTTTAAATTTTTTAATTTTTTTATTTTTTTATTTATTTTTTCATTTTTAAATCTACCCTGGGTGGAAGAAGATAGACCACAGAGCCTCGGAATGTCCTCCTAGTCCAGAGATTCAGTGGAGAAAGTTCTCTGCCACTCCTGAGCTGGGTGCAGATAAAAATGTCACTTTTAAAGAAAGAAAGCTGGTCATTGTTCAGTTAAATGTTTGCATTTGTGAACATTCTGTTTTGTGTTAAGAGAGGAATTTTTTAAAATAAAAATGTACATTTTCATGGAAATGATTGGTTGGTGTTGTGCCTTCACTGGAAGCCTAAAGAGAAAACTATTTGGGGTGACAAAATGGGAAAAATTAGTCACCAATGATTCACAGAGACTATAAATATGTGGCTATATTGTTCTCTTCTTTATGACCCAGCTGGGATGAGTGGTTTGGGAGGAGGCAGGAAGACACAAATAGTGCTAGAGGGGAGCTGGAGGCCCCACTCCAGGTTTGGCAGCGTGAGCTCACCCCAAAACCTCCTGTCACAGCCTCTCTCTGTCTCAGCACTGGGGCTGCGCGGGCTCAGCCCCTGGCAGCCTGTCCAAAACTTCTGTGGGGCCAGGAAAAAGAACAGGCTAACGGCCCCCTTCGTGTTCTGCATGAAGCTGCCCGTGCTGCCACAAGGGACACCACAGGTTGACGCGCAGTATCTTCGGAGCAGCACAGGGACAGACGTATTGCTAGCTTTGCCATTTCCCAAGCTAGGGAGAAAAGTTAAAGCTGGGACAAGGGGAACTGTCAGCTGACAGAGCTCTGCTACCTGTCCGTGCAAATTCCAGTAACTCATACCCTAAATCCTCCTTACATACACACCACACACACCACACACACACACCCCAACACACCCCAAAATAATTAACTAAATCATTCTTTCACGTATGCACTCATCTACCAGAGCACTGAGCCTCTATGGCATGTCAGGTACTGTGTGGAGCACCAGGGAAGCAATGGTGAGAGCAACTAGCCTGGGATGTCCTCACAGAGCCTCCAGCCTAGTGGGGAAGACAGTCCTAGCCTGGCAATTATTACAATGGAGATTGGTCATTGCCAGGACCAGGAGTTCTGGCAACATGGAAGCACTTAGTAGGCTCAGCCTATCCTTTTATGGGCCAGGAAAGAATTTCTGGACCTCCTGACTGCTCAATAGAATGGGGATTGCCTGTTGACTATTTCTGCCTCCTGATGACCTGCCTTGCTGATCATTTTTCTCTTTTCCCCTGCATCTCCATTGTTTTCTACTAGGTGTATCCCAGGGTCCTGATTCTGGCCTCTTCTCACTCTGTACTCACATCTGAGAAATTGTCAGCTATCCTTGTAGTTTTTAACCCTTCTTCAGTGTATGTGATTCCATTATATATAAAGAAAGAAGCAGGGTCTCACTCTGTCACCCAGGCTGGAGTGCAGTGGTACAATCTTGGCTCATTGCAACCTCTGTCTCCCAGGCTCAAGCGATCCTCCTGCCTCAATCTCCCAAGTAGCTGGGACTGCAGGTGCACACCACCATGCTTGGCTAATTTTTTTTTTTTTTGGTAGATATGGGGGCTTCCTATGTTGCCCAGGCTGGTCTTAAACTCCTGAGCTCAAGCAATCCTCCCACCTTGGCTTCCCAAAGTACTGGGATTGCAGGCGTGAGCCACTGCACTGGCTTTACAATCTATATTCCTGATGCCGGTCAATCCCACATTCCAGAGCCCTCTAGCAACAGCTTCCCCAAACCCTTCAAACTCAACATGTTAAATCTTAACTCGCCGTCTTTTCCTTCAGCTCTGATCCTTAGCTTAGCTGATGTATCGCTACACACCCAGTCTCCCAAGCCAGAAACCTGGATTCCTTCCTGCCCCTCAACTTCCACATTTGACCAGTTCCCAGGCCTTGTTGATTCTACACATGGAATACTTCTCCACCTCTCTTTTCCTCCGCCACCATCCAAGTTGAGGCCTCCCTCCACAGAGCAGAATAGCAGAAACAGCCTCCTACACATGTGTTTCTGCATCTGGCTTCACCCACCAATGCTTCCCATGCACTGTGGCCAAAGCTAACCACATGACTGCCTTTCTTCGTTGATTCTCAGGATAAAGCCAAAGCATCTTAATATACAAGATTCTCCATAATGTGGATCCTGGCCTCCAACTACTTTTCTAGCCCTGTCTCCCAAGATTCTTCTCTTAGTCTTAATTCTCTAGGGGTACCAAGCTGCTGTTGGTAAACACATGTTGAGGACCCCAAAATAAACTCCTCTAGTCCCTCCATCTTATCCCTCTTTTTCCTTCATTTTACTTATCATAATCTAGAATTATCTTGGTCTATTATCTGTTCATTTATTTATTGTCTATCTCCTCTTCCAAAATGTAGGCTCTATGAAAATAGGAATTTTTAAAAACTGTGGTAAAATATACATGACAGGAAATTGACCATTTTAACCATTTTTAAATGTACAATTCAGTGGCATTAAGTGCATTCACATTGTTGTGCAATCATCACCACTATCCATTTCTAGAACATTTTCATCATCCCAACAGAAACTGTGTACCCATTAAATAATAACTCCCCAGTCCCTTCTCCCCTCAGCCCCTGGTAACCCCTCTTTTACTTTCTGTCTTTATGAATTTGCCTATTCTCAGTAATTCATACAAATAAAATCTTGCAATATTGTTCTTTTGTGACTGGCTTATTTCATTTAGCATAATGTTTTCAAGGTTCATCCATGTTGTAGCGGGTATCAACATTTTATTCTTTTTTATATTAAGTAATATTTTATAGCATGTATATGCTACATTTAGTTTATCCATTCAATGATCATTGGTGTACAATTATTTGAAAATAGGAGTCTTGTCATCAGTAATTCCCCATGGTCTGGAACAATGCTGGTGCATAGTAGGTGTTCAATTAAATATTCATTTTGTTCATCCTTGCCTATATATATACCATTACCTCTGCCTAGAAACTCTTCCACTTCTTGCTCTTACAGAAACTGTTTTTAATCCTTCTAAGTACACATTTCACCTTCTCCAGAAAGTCTTTCCTGACAGTCCCCCACCACACATTTTCTTTCTCTCCCTTTTCTCAGTGCTATCATTGTGTTCCATATATAATTTAGGAAAACATTTGCATTGCAGTTCAGTTCTATATTCTAATTTATCGGATTCTACATCTGTCTCATCTGCTTGACTAGAATCTTTTGAGGGATGCTGCCCTAGGCATCTCAGTGGCCTGCAAGTCTAGGACAGTGCCTGGAACAGAGTAGTTATTTAGTGTTTGACGGGTGAGCAAATGAATGAATGAATGAATCCCTTATATCTTCCATAGTCTTTGTCATATATCCAACCACACAGATACGACTCTGGCTGCCCTTTTCCTCAGTTATTTTAATCACTACAGAACTTGTTAACACAAAAAAGCAAGAGGGAGGAAGTTTACAGGCCTAGATAGGAAGGGTATCCAGAGAGGTGGAGTGACCGTCCACATGGCGTGCCTGGAAACATCCCCATTCATACCTGTTGTCCCAGCATAATTGTTAATAGTGACCCCTTTTAAAAGTGTCATAGTTCTGATAATAAATTACATGGCCACTCTACAAAGATAACTAACTTTTACTGACCCACCAGCTGGGAAATGATACCATACCCTCAACCCAGGGGTGGGTAAGTAGCAGGGCCCACCCTCGGGCCTTACCAATTCAGTGTGTTCCTCCAGTTTTCCAACTGCCAGGAGCTGCCTCTATTCACTTGAGGAGTGTTTGAGAAACCACAGAAAGCTTTTCTATCCAAGTGCACACCAGGCTCTAATGGCAGGGAATTGACATCTCCTGGGAGCAGCCTTCACCCACCGATGAGAGGGATATGTATACAAATAGCCTTGCAACTGCACCCCTAAGATGGGATGGCTGTGAGGTATGTCTTTTATGTCATTTCTCAGAACTTCCCCATACGATTATGCTCCGGTTGCACACAGGAGTAACTGCTTGATAACCTAGGGCGCTACTAAGTTACACCGGGCCAACAGGTATAAATTCTTTATTGGTTTTCCCGTCCCTGTTCCACTTCCCCATGCCCCTGCACTTGCCAAATCAACTACTTGCTCTTGAATCCTTGCTTCAGAGTTTGCTTCTGGGGGAGCCTAAACTGGGAGACTCAGCTTCCTTAGTATTACCTTCTTTCATACCCCTTCTGGTGCAACCCCCTCTCAGCCATCCCTGTCCCCACAAGCCTCAGCCCTTCACCTGCCTCCACAGTTCTCCTGCCAGGACCAGTTTTGTTTGTTCGTTGGTTTGTTTTGTTTGTTTGTTTGTTTGTTTGTTTGAGACGGAGTCTTACTCTGTCGCCCAGGCTGGAGTGCAGTGGCGCGATCTCGGCTCACTGCAGCTTCCACCTCCCAGGTTCAAGCAATTCTCCTGCCTCAGCCTCCCGAGTAGCTGGGACTACAGGCACGCACCACCACGCCCAGCTAATTTTTGTATTGTTAGATGGAGTTTCACAATGTTGGCCAGGATGGTCTTGAACTCCTGGCCTCAGGTGATCCACCCACCTCAGCCTCCCAAAGTGCTGGGATTATAGGCATGAGCCACCGCGCCAGCCCAGGACCCATTTTTTTCTTCCCAGCTGGGTCGGTGTGGGACTGGCTCATCAGTAGATAGGAGTGGCCCTGGGTGTAGGAGGCTGAGATTTCCTGTTAGCTGCGCCCAGCTCTGGTCTGGCCACCCTCATCATGGATCCTAATGTCCTTGCAGGTTCTCTAATGTGACACTGCTGAAGAATCAAATACCAATGTCAGTTCAATAGCACCCTGATGATTTACTCCTGGATCCAACTGCACATGTTCACCTCATCATCATTCTACAAGGAGCAGAGGCCACAAGGATGGTCAGGGCTGAAGGAGGAAAGGAAGCTGCCACCTCTGAGGTACCTAATTGATACGTAGTAGACTCTTTGTGGGTGTGGCCTTACAACAACTGTGGAAAGTAAATAGGATTTTCATCAGCTTTTTAGAACTAAATATTTTATCTATGATAAAAGAACGGAATGATTATTATAGAAATATGAAGTGGTGGTGGGGAGTAAAAGATTACCTATAAATCTACCTCCTAGGAATCACTGCTAATACAGCAGTTGCTGGTTTCCTCCTGGCCCTTTATCCACGTGAACCTAATTGAAATCACATTGGCTACCTTTCCTACTCAATATTAGACCAGAAACATCTCTCCTATGCTACTTCATACGCTTCAAAGCTTAGGAGAAAAATGCTTCTCTCTTCCTTGTACATTTTATATGGTGGAGAGAGAATATGTGTTCCACTCCTAGGGACAGACACTGTGGGAGAGATTCTTCCAGCATTGCTGATCGATTCACTCCATTACGAAAATTGAGAAAAGGACAGAGGCAGAGACCTCCTCTTTCTGGTCCCTTTATCTGGGTGTCAAAAAAATCAAGAAGTAACAATAAAATCTTATTATTTTAGGTAGATAAAAAAAAACAAATATTCAGCAGAAGGAGTTAAAGACTATTGTTGCGTCTGGAGACAGGTGACCAGGGGAACTGTTGTTTTTCTTAACAAGCGTTGTTGAACTATTTGTCTTTTTAATCCATGTGTAACTTTGATTAAAATGAAACAAACTCAAAGAGGAAGACAAGGCATGATTTATTGATCTAACAGTAAACGCAGTGTGTTATTAACTTTGTAAATGTCGTTTTTAATGGCTATATATTACCCGATTGTGTGACTATACTACAATTTATTTTTCTATTTTCCTGCTATTGAACATGTTGTTTTTTCCAAACTGTGTTTTTTAGATAGTATTGTGATGAACAACCCTGTGCATAAAGCTTTTTCTGTATTTGAGATATTCCTCATAAGAAAATGACAGTGTTCACCCTATATGAGTGCTTATTTTACCATACTCTAATCAGCTTTGATTAAAATCCTTTTTTACCTCAATTAGGTAATGTATGAAAAATTATTTTCCTTTTCAGCAGTTGAGAAAATGAAAGCTCAGAGACCTCCAACTTTTCTTAGTGTGTGCAAGGTTAATAAGTGGCAGAGCTGGCTTTTAAGCCTGTTCTATCTGATTGCCAAATCCTTATCCCCTCCACTTCTGGCCTCTCAGTAGAAAGGCCAGGTAGAAAGAATGAAATGTCAGGAGAGCTGCATCCCAATCCAGCCTTTTCCATTTTCTAACTAGTACTCTTTTAGTCCCAATTTCCTTGTCTATAAAACACAGTTACCACCCGCCACCACCCTACAAAGAGCTATAAGTACAAAATAAGATCATGAATATGAGGACTCTTAGAAAATTCTAGAAAATTCCATTTGATTATAGGCTTCAAAAAGGCATGGGCCAGCCAGATGTGGTGGCTTATGCCTATAATCCCAGCACTTTGTGGGGCCAACTCAGGAGGATCACTTGAGGCCATGCATTTGAGACCAGCCTGGGCAAGAAAGCAGGACCCTATCTCTATGAAAAATTTAAAATTTTTAAAAATTAGCTTGACATGGTGGTGAGCACCTGTAGTTATATCTACTTAGGAGGCTGAAATGAGAGGATCTCTTGAGCCCAGGAGGTCAAGGCTGCAATGGGCTGTGATCACACCACTGCACTCCAGCCTGAGCGACAGAGAAAGACCCTGTTTCCAAAAAATAAATAAATAATTTTTAAAAGGCATGGGCCTCACATTCTGTTTCCTAGAGAGAGAAAGAGAGAGATCTCACATTTATTTAGCATTTACCTATGGCAGTTACTTTAAGTGCTTTATATGAATTATATTATTCAATCCTCCTAACAGCCCAATGAGTTAGATATTGTGGTTTCTATTTTAGAGATGAAAAACTAAGGCTATGCTCCATAACCAGTAAATGGTGGAGATAAGCTTGAATCCAGGAGATCTGGCTCTAGAGCTTGAGCTCCTATTGTTTTAAAATGTAGTTATCATTATTACCGATGCTCCCCAACTTACAATGACTTGACTTAACTTTTTTACTTTACAATGGCACAAAAGAGATTCACTTTCATTAGAAACTCTACTTTGAGTACCCATCCAACTATTCTCGTTTTCCCTTTCAATACAGTATTCAATAAATTACATGAGATATTCACCACTTTATTATAAAATAGGTTCAGTGTTATTGCCCTACTGTAGGCTGATGTAAGTGTTCTGAGCACATTTCAGGTAGGCTAGGCTAGGCTATGAGGTTCAGTAGGTTAAGTGCATTAAATGCATTTTCTATTTATGATATTTTCAACTTACAATGGGTCTATTGGGACATAACCACATCATAAGTTGAGAAGCATCTGTATTATTATTATTACTAGGCCAACAGATCAGAAGATGACTGCCATTGAGAAGATATGTTGTTACTCACAGTTCCCAAGAGGAAGGGGCATGAGAGGCCATGCAGAGTCACATGAGGAAGCAGCAGCATTGGTCAGAAGGCAAAGGAAGTGAGGGGAAAGCATGGACAAGAGCTTTATTGTAGCTTTTTTTTTTTTTTTTTTGAGACAGAGTCTTGCTTTGTTGACCAGGTTGGAGTGCAGTGGCACGATCTCGGCTTACTGCAACCTCCGCCTCCTGGGTTCAAGTGATTCTCTTGCCTCAGCCTCCTAAGTAACTGGGATTAAAGATGCACACCACCACGCTTGCCTAATTTTTTTTTTTTTTTTTTTTTTTAGTAGAGACTGGGTTTCACCATGTTGGTCAGGCTGGTCTCAAACTCCTGACTTCGTGATCCGCCCGCCTGGGCCTCCCAAAGTGCTGGGATTACAGGCGTGAGCCACTGCCCCTGGCCTGCTTTATTGTAGTTTTGCATGAAGGAATGGGTGAGGCAGGGTAAGCAAGCTAGGCAACTTTAGGATTGGCTAGTTGAAATAGTTTCCATGGGGTCCCAGGGTGGAAGGACTGCCCCCAGTTGCCTGGTTCCTAAGACTGGGGTGATTATAGCACGGGGATAGTAGCTCAAACTGAGAGCTCCATAAAGGAGGCATTGGCAGGTATGGGGTCTGGATTGGTTGGTTTGCATATAAAAGGTGTGCTATATCTAGGAATTAGCTAGTTCTGGAGGAACAGTCTCTCCAGGATCAGCAAGGCTCCACATGCCAGAGCATCAAGAATACAGAAAATAAAGAACATAGTTAATACACTTATGCACTAACCAGAACTGCCTGCGCTGTAGCTGGGATGGTTATCATCATCACCATCATCAAGGACCATTATAACGATAAAAATTTCCTGTTCTTATCCAAATGTAAGGTCCATGGGACAGAGACTATGTAGCACGCAGCACAATGCCTGGCACACAGTAGCCTTCAGGACAGATTTGTTGAATGAATGAATGAATGAATGAATGAGCGAATGGTCCCATGCCCCTGGTAAGCCTAGGACTTTATGCACCGTGAAGGACACATGGGTGTAGGTGCTTAATACATAGATTATTTCTTCATCAGGTAAGCAAGAAAAATGAGGAGAATACCATGGAAATAGCCAAGATCTAGAACAATGTGCTTAAGAAGAGCTCTTCCTAAAGAAACCCAGATAGTGTTCAGATTTCATCTAGTGAAGATCTCAAGAATGCCCAAGAATTCTTGACTTTGTCTTTAGAAAATCTAGATGACCCCTCTCTGGACAAGAAGTCTGCTCTCAGTCTTCTTTCTCCAGTGGCCAGATGTCTTCCTTATTAAACCATATGGAGAACACACTCAGAAGATTCTGGCTTTTCTTTAATCCTCACATAACCGCCCTCATCACCAAATTCATCACAAGCATCTTTATTCATTTACATTTATTCATACACTGAAGAGAGCTTATTGTGCACATTAATTTGGAGTCATCTCATTCATAGATTACAAATGTCTTCAAGGACAACACAACTACTTAACACATTTCAACCACTTATCGAAATTGGGGACTCCAGGAGTTGACAGGTGGGAGGCTAAATACAGCTTTTGGGTAGGCATTCCGAGCCCTAAGAAGATTCCATGGTGCTGTGTCATGCAAGCAACACTACGACAGATTGGAGGAGTTTCTCAGTGCTATGGGGAAAACCAGGAAGAGGACTCCCTGCCCTCAAGGAGTTTACAAAGAATAAATAACAATTAAAACAAACCAAAACAAAAAACCCAGATGTACAGGATTTAATATTGCCAACATGAAGTGACAAATACATTTTAAGAGGATCATTGACAAGGAAAACATGAGAACAGCAAAATAATACAGCACACACCACCCCCTTCTTCAGAAGTTCCCATCCTTCCCCTACCCCCTCAAGCAGCCTGGCCTCCCATCCCATCTCTGTAGTGCCAGTGGGATGTCCGATCCTGCCTCCCATCTCTTCTCCCTGTCCAGCCTGTTAAATAGGCACTAACGAACTCTACAAACTGCTCCTTTGAAGAAAACAAGAACCAATGACTATAGAAAATTAGAAGGGCTGGGACAAAGGAAAGAAAGATGAGGCTTCAACCAGGAAGGGAGCAGAAGGGCTCACCCCTTCTGCAGAGACTGTCATGGCCACTTCCTTTCCCAGCCTATTCCAAAAACATCTCTCCACATTTGTTCAGGGATGGCTGTTGCCATGGCTACTGGTGACAGATGCTTTTTGAATGTGGTATTTGAAGAGCTCTTCAATTTGGGATCTGACCTGGAACAGGTGGCTATTTTTAGCCACACACTGCTCAATATATCCTTTAGAAAAGTCAGTTCTTCGCTTTGTATTTAAATGTTGCCTTACTCCACACTCCCCCATTTGGTTGCCCAAGTGGCTTAAAGTATTTATGGGAATTTTTATTCACTGTTACCACAACATGAAAGACACGACAAAGACCTCAAGATGCAGCTGTAAATGCTATATTTCAGGTGTAGAACACTCAGGGGAAGCCAATACAAGCCCTGAGTAGAAGATGTCAGCTTTATGAGAGAAAGGATTGTCCTCTCCAGAGCAACTCTGAGGGTTGATTCCTCATTTGATATTCAGAAGTGCTGCCACCACCTTGCTCTGGAGTTCCTGTGCTGGTCTTGTCATTTTGGTGCATTCTCCATTGTGCCTGAATTTGTGCTATTATTTATAAAGTGATACTTAGGATTCTGCATTTATTCCACGCATGTGTGAAGGCAATAGTGTGTAATGAGAAGAGTTTTAGATGTCACCCACCTCCAAATTAGCTTGATATTAAAGTCTTTGTATGATGTGGCCCCAAGTTATCTTCCTAAACCTACTTACTTTTCAAATATCTCAGCCCTGAAGCCTGAAATCCCTAGGGTTTTCTCCAAACATACAGTGTATTTCCACTGGAAATTTTACACATTTTCTGATGCCCATCTCAAACTTCACATGCCCAGTAATTCATCTTTGTGCCATCTCTCTCTACCCCTTAGTTAAAAGCATTCAGGCATTCCCTCCTTCCTCTTGGATCTCATTATATTTCATATATAAATGTATTAGAGCTTGAAGCATTGAACACAGCTCCTGGTGCTGTGTTATTTGGGCATCTCTTAACTTCCTGATGACTCCTGGAAGCTTCATAAAACTACAGAGGGAAGTTTTTCTCCATATTGCTTCTCTAGTGCCTGATTCAGTGCCTTGCATAGAGTAGAAACTCAAGAAGTATTTGTGGAACTAAATTGCTATATAAAAGTCTTCAGACCGGGATTGTAGTGCCACCTCTGTCAGTGATCTTGAACTTTAAGTTTTCCAGATCTCAGTTTCCTTATCTGTAAAAAGAAATTATGATACATATTTTGCTTTCCCCACAATTTTATCATAAGAGCTAGACCAGCTTTACCTTATAAATGGCACCTCCTGAGATGAAAGCACATGTTTCCCCCAAGAAATGAGAAAAAAGAGAAAAGTAAGAAAATACTATAGGACTACCAGGGCTATTCAAGCTAGATACTAGAGCTATAGGAAATACTGGAGAAATTCAAGCAGGCTATCCAAAAAGAGAAATAAAGAAAAAGTAGGGTTGAGGTGGAAGATGAAGAGGAGGGTAGGAGGAGCTGGAGGGCCTAGATAGGAAACCATACTACAGTCCCAAACCACATGGGAAGCAGAGGGCTATGGAGCAGGAATAGATGCTGATAGGAATGATAATGTGAGGGTTTGGAGAGGCACAGCTCAGATCCACTTTCTCATGTGCTGGCCAATGCTTCATTGGAACAGGAGTCTCCAAGTCCATAAGAAGGGAAATCAGATGGAAAAGGGCCCCAGTCAAAGCCAGAAGAACTGCTCAGAGATGGAATCCAGAAATTTAAATGCCATGAGGGATTTTGATTCGTATATACTCTGAGACATTCTTTGAGAAACCCTGAGCCACAGAAACTAAGACAAATCAAAGCTAAGAAACATATGTGTTAACTATTGCTGGAATAAAAAAACCTCAGAAATAGGTAAGTGGCAATAGAAATAATGTATTAATATAGCCCAAGAAATAGGAAAGAGACAAAGAAAGCAAAGGTAAGAGGGCGAAAAAAAGACTTGAAGGAAAAAAGATGTTAACAAAGTACTGGTAAAGCAGGACTTAAGCCAGATACACAGGGAACAAGTGCATAATTATGCAGAAGTCTAGAAAGAAAAACTGGACGTGGGTTGGTTTTCATTTTTCAAGGCTGAGGATGAATAGAGAAAGTCATTATTTCTCAAGGAGCTGAGTTTACTGTTTGCTTTAAGGATGGCAGTCATGCAGGGAGAAGTTTTTAGGAGCATACGTCTAACTTTGGACCAAGAGACACCACTGATCCTGAAACCCGCTGAAATAATAACCAAGGAAAAAAGAGAAGTCACATGAGACAGAACAGTCAGTGAGATTCAAAAGAGTAAGTCATGCAGTAGTGGACAAGTAAAGAACAAGTCAGATGGGCGCTGGCTGCAGTGGTCAGCACGGGCTCAGGGCAGGCGATCTCAGGACCACGGATAGCTCTGTGCCTGCTCCATGTCTGGGAAAAGGCTGGCCTTCTAACCTAATGCTACCTTGACTGGTTTCACTGCCTGGGTCCCATTTTGGATATTAAAAGGACCTGCTCACCCATTTAAGATAGAAGTCTTTGGATCTGGGGAATAGTTGTTCTCTATCTGGTGGCCTTTGATAACTGTTCAGAGGTGGTATGAGAGAATGGAAGGAAGGACTACTGGACTTGGAATGCAGAGGTCTGGGTTTTGCACTCAGCATTGCACTTGCTAGCTGTGTAGCCTTGGTGAAGGGAAACTTAGTAAAGCTCTGTTTTCTCCTCTGTAAAATGGGGTTAATAGGGTTCTCCCTGCTTCCTATAAAGGAAAATTTGGGGAAATCAAATAAGATTATGCACGTGAAAGCACTTCTAAACTGTAAAGCCCTAGCTAAATATGTAAAGTTGTTAAAATTAACTTCCTAACAAGGGAATAAAAGGGTTCCATAGAACTCTGCAGGGTCAGGAGACAGGGCTGATAGTCCAAAGGTATGTCAGAGCCCAACATCTCATAAATAGCAATAAAGTCCAGAAAGGAATGTGAATTTTCAAAAGCAGTGGGAGGTTGGTGGGAAGATGAACAAAGGTGAAAGAGAAACAGGAAAAAGTAAAAGAATGAATTTGCAAATATTCATGACTTTCTCCCCAAAAGCTGATTATTTTATGTAAATTTATGGATAAAATCTGAAACAAGCTAAAATATCAAATATGTAAAATAAATTTCGGAAGAATCCAAAACAATTTCAATAATCAAATGTCTTTCTGCAGGCCAGGCTCGGTGGCTCACGCCTGTAATCCCAGCACTTTGGGAGGCCGAGGTGGGTGGGTCATGAGGTCAGGAGATCGAGACCATCCTGGCTAACATGGTGAAACCCCGTCTCTACTAAAAAAATACAAAAAAATTAGCCCGGCATGGTGGTGGGCACCTGTAGTCCCAGCTACTCGGTAGGCTGAGGCAGGAGAGTGGCGTGAACCCGGGAGGTGGAGCTTGCAGTGAGCTGAGATCGAGCCACTGCACTCCAGCCTGGGTGAAAGAGCGAGACTCCGTCTCAAAAAAAAAAAAAAAAAAAAAGTCTTTCTGCAATATGTAAAAAAACTCACTGGTCAAATTGGACCTCCTTCTTATTATTTTAAAAGCCTTTGCTTTAATTTATTATTAAAAAGTAACATGTTATCATTATAGAAAAAAATCAGAAGAAATAAGACCAAAAGATAATTAAAAATATTCTCAAAAACCTGTGAACCCAAAGACAATCTTCCAAATGCTCTCCTAACTCTTCCATGCACATAGAAGGAACTGGGTTCACTTACATATACTTACATATATATATGGAGTTAGTGCAGTGGCTAAACCTGTGTGTTCTGCTGCCAAAGTCTCTCAGTTCAGTCCCCAGGTTTCCTAAATATTGACTGTATATCTCCGGGAAAGTTAATCTCTTTAAGCCTCTGTTTCCTAATCCATGGCAATGGGTTTTAATAATAGTACCTACACTAAAACCTATTGTTAGAATTAAGTAAAATAATATATTTAAAATACTTTATACAATGCCTGGAATATAATAGGTACATAGTAATAATGACAACATTGTTAAGGAATAATAATATTATCAAGTAATATATACTTATAGATTTACATGGTGTCATCACAATACTATAATATTTAATGATAGTAATGTTACTACTGCTTATATTATTTTAATATTAATAATAAAGATAGCTAATCTTTGTACTTATCCTTAATTATATCTATAAGATAAATTTCCAGAAATAGAATTTCTGCATCAAAGTAAGAATGTAAATATTTTAGAGCAATGTCATATTTTAAAGGTAGAGAGAGGAATTCAGTAGTCATAGGGAAGAGGGACAGGTGTTAAAAATGAAAAGTAACATATGGATGAAAGGATTTAGGATTCATTGCTATTAAACTATGAGTGAGCAAATCCTAGAAGCCAGCAGTACCACCTCTGGGAATATGCTACAGAAATAATTGCATGAATATATATATATATGTGCAAGAATGTTCATTGCAGTACCATTTATAAGAAAAAACTGAAAGCAACCTAATTATCTCATTGATAGGAGAGCGATTATATCTACATAGGAGAATGTTTATATAGATATGTACATAGGAGAACAAATCATCAATAAATGAATCATGCTATGCTTCCTGTCTGTCACTCCACTTTCTCCTGTAACATTGTATCAGGAACCCACTGCAAAGTTAACACATGTAGTTTTACCTTTTTCTTTTTAATGGCTATATAATATTCTCCTTTATGAATATGTATATATGTAAAGTTGAATATACATATATGTATACATACACACATATCCATAAAGCTGAATATACATATATGTATATATATACACGTATGTATTCTATGTGTGTATATACATATATACATACATATACATATATTATTTATACATACATATTTATAAAGTTGAATATACTTATATGTATATATACACACATCCATAGAGTTGAATATACATATATGTATATATACACACATATCCATAAAGTTGAATATACATATATGTATATATACATACATATTCATACAGTTGAATATTATATAGCCATTAAAAAGAAAAAGATAAAGCTACATATGTTAACTTTGTAATGAGTTCCTGATACAATGTTATGGGATGGACTGGAGTGATAGACAGGAAGCATAGCATGATCTTATTTTATGTGGCAAATTTAAAGGATGCAGGAGTCAGGGCTTGCTAGTTACATGTGTGAGCAAAGGAACCAATCTAGATAATGCATATGAAAAGTATTTGAAACTGTGAAGTGCTGCACAGGTTGTTTTTCTTTTTTTTAGTCCCAATAATGTGACATAAACTTACCAAAAGAAGAGAGAGAAATGGGCTACTAAGAGGCACAGGATATGTATGAACTAGAGGTTTGTTACAAAACAAAAGCCATCCCTTTTCTGATCATTGAGTCCTGGTGTTAAAGCAGTAGAGATGCTTGAGAAATTATCTTATCCAGCACTTTGCCTTTAGGGAAAGTATGTTTATGCTGTAAGTGGAAAAACTGAGGTATACAGAGCTAAGTGACCCAAAGACACATGGTTCATGGGAGTGGGGTGATGACCAAGATTCTCTTTCCTGATCGAAATGGAATTCTCAAAATCTTGGAAACTTGGCAAGATCAAATAGGGAATATGCAAATTCCTACTGAAATAGGAAGAAATTAAAACCATAATAGGAATCATTAAGGGGAAAGGAGACTCTCCCCTTTCAAAATGCCACAAAGAAGTAGGACATGTTAAAACTACATTAAAAATACTCAAAAGGAGGCACCAAGCCAAGGACTTTAAATAACAAAAATAGCTCTCCCCTTTTGCAGGAGTGATCAATGCAGAGCATCTTTTCCCCTATAAAGGTGAAGAAAATGGAGCAGAAATAGTAAAAATCAAAGAACAAAGAGGAAAGTCTCCACAAACCTTACTCATGGAATGAGTAAAGAAAGCAAAGGTTAATCAAGAAAAACAATAATAGCTATTAATAACAGAAGACAAAAAGAAAGACGAGTATGGGACATAGCGGAGAGAGGTCCAAAAGGTAGTCTTCCTCCCAGAGAGCCACCGCAGGTGGTCACAGCAGACATCGCTGCTCAAGAGAGCAGTGCCACAAGGCTGATGAAAGGGGCGACGCTCTTCAGTCCTGTAACTTTACTGCTGAGACCTCACAGTGGACCTCTAGACCCCACTGGACCACATGATTTCCTACAAATGTAGCAAAGTACGAAAAAAAAATGGTTCAATGATCAACTGGTACGGTGAAGTGGTGTTAATTTAAAACAATGCAGGGATGCTGGGAAGGAAATCAATCACTTGAGGAGGGAGAGCTTGTGAAAACTTAGGTGGACACAGAATCTCTGCAGCTTTCCCATCTTTTGAGTTTTCACTTCTCTGCTCCAGCTCAGTGAAACTCTCTGTACTTCCTCACCTGAGAGGGCCATTAGCAGCACCATGCCTCTCCTCAGAGCATGAATTTTCCTATTTATGCAGAGAAAAACAATAGACCCTTTTCAAATGGTACCTAAAACAAAGACTAGCAACAACTTTGGAAAAATAAATCCAACCCCATTCTCAAACACTCAAAATGCAGTAATTACCAAAATATGAGTATAATTTTCCTATTTGTGCAGAGAAAGACAGTTGACCCTTTTCAAATGGAACCTAAAATAAAGACAGAGAGAGAGCTTGTGAAACTCTTCAAGTTTAAACGGGTAACTAAGGCTTAAACGGGTGTGGCTGTCAGAGCCTAGTGAGAAGTCAGTATGCTGCTATTACATACATTTCAACCCCACCTTGTTAAATTTGCCTGAAGTACATTCAGGAGTTGGTTCAGTCTCAGTGCTGCTCTGCGGATCCATTGTTCTACACTCAGGTCTTGGGCTGAGTCTCCAAAGAGTCCCATCAACCATCTTCCAAGGAGTGGCTTGTCTTCAAATGAACTCTTGCACAAGAGACAAACTTCTCAGCCTCTTCTAAACCTCACAGCCCCAGGTTGAAAAGATTGCTTTCTATTTCAGTCCCAGAATCACCTAAGTTTCACTCCTCAAGTAGCCAACGCCTCTTGCACACCCACCTAAGTGCTTTTGGGGGACCCCATTCTCAGGGGATAGAATTTACTAATTTTTAAAATTTTAATATGCCTGCTCTTGTACAAGCTAGGATTGCAATCAACCACAAAATAAAAGAAAGCCCAACCATGGCTTAAACTAACAGAGGGTTCACATTTCAGGAAGAGAAATAGCCAGTCAGTGGGAGCCATGGCTAAATCTTCCCACTGTGGACTCAGGACTTCCTCTCCCTCCCTGGAGGGGTGGCCTGCTGGCTTTCATCTTCTTGCTTTTTGCCTCGTGGTTGCAAGGTGGCTGCTCTACTTCTAGCTTTCATCCATGTTCAACGCAGGAAGAAGGGAAAAGGTGAAGAGGTGAAGGACTGTCTCCTTACAAGTCTTTGGGCTTTTACTCAGGAAGCTAAGACTCCCCAGGGTATTTGCACCTGCATTTCATTGGTCAGAACTGCATGACACAGTCACACCCAGCAGCCAGGAAGCTGGGAGATCTAGAACTGTACTTTCACAGGCCAGGCACGGTGGCTCCCGCCTGTAATCCCAGCACTTTGGAAGGCCAAGGCTGGTGGATCACCTGAGGTCAGGAGTACGAGACCAGCCTGGTTCACATGGTGAAACCCCGTCTCTACTAAAAATACAAAAAATTAGCCAGGTGTGGTGGTGCCCGCCTGTAATCCCAGCTACTCAAGAGGCTGAGGCTGGAGAATCTCTTGAACCCAGGAGACAGAAGTTGCAGTGAGCCAAGATCGTGCCATTGCACTACAGCTTGGGCAACAAGAGTAAAACTCCATCTCAAAACAAAACAAAACTGTACTTTCACATCTGCATTGGAAAGGCACAAGAGGAGAATGGATATTGATGGGCTATTGAATGTTATCTGCCCCACAGTTGTTCTTCTGACTCCTAGGCATCCATGGGCATTCCTATTCCTGTGTGTATTCTCATGCTGTCATCACCGATGAAGAAAACCAAAGTCTTGTCCCATCCGAAGTCCAGGATCACTGGCTACTGTGCGAACTCCCTCTCAGGTCTGCATGCGCTTCTCATGACCATGGTCCATAAGTTGAAAAGACAGCTTACCTGCCCTAATGCCTCTGATACACAAAGGTGAGAGAGAAACCAGAAAACCACATAAAAACTCCAACTCAACTCAAAAAAAAGAAAAAATGGGAAATGCACATTGGACCACAGACCTAACAAATCCTACTGGTCACAAAAAAAGAGAAGTTTCTGCCCTGGCAGTAAAGTAAAATTCCTAGCCAACCAATCTGGCAGGCAGGCTCTAGGTCTGCTTTCTGGGAGGAAATTCCTTGCCCTTTATTCTTTGTTGCTATATCCTCACAAAAATTCTCCGTGGCAAAAATGGTTGATATTCTTATACCTATTCTAAAGATTAGAAAATTGAGGCCCAGAGAGTAACTTTACCCAAAGTCATACAGAATCCAAGCTCAGATCATTCGATTGCTGAGCATCTGCCGTTACTATCCCGTGATAAAGTTTCTCTAACAAAACAGGAGTTGTATTCTAAGAGCCCAGGAGTTCACTTCGAAAAAGAGGTAGAAAGAAGTAAAAAGCTAAAAAGAAAGGAAATATTTTTAAAGGGTCATTTAGAATTAATCCGAGAAAACAAGACATTTGAAGCAACATTTGCTGGCAGAGGTTTTCTTTTATAGAATATAGTCAAGGTCCTTCTAGTGGTGCTATGGCCCCAAAAAGGAGGATGAGTTCGGCCTGAGAGAGAGGCTGTTCCCCAGGAGGATGCCCTTTTTCCTGCTAAAGAAGGAACAGAAAGAGGGCCAGCATGAGCCATTTAAGCCATCTTAGGGTTGTGATGACTTGCTTGTATAGTGGAAAGAAAAGTAGGTACCGCTGGAAGCCAAATTCTGACTCTACCATTGCAAAGGTATCAGGAAGGGAGAGTTTCACTGAGGAGAAAACAGGTTCCAGATGGCACAGGGGAAACCCATGGGCCCATCTCCAGGATTTAACTTTAAAATATTCCTGGGCTGGCTGCCTCAATAGAGGCTCAATGACCCACCTTTGCCTCAGAGGGCTTAAGAAGGAAATCTCAAAAGGGAATATTGTGAAGCCTTACACAGTAGATGCTGGTGTTCTAGAGAGAAGGAGGTTTTTAAATCCTCTTAAGTTTTTCAAGATGGAAAAAGTTCCAAAGATTGCACAACAATGTGGATATACTTAATACTACTGAACTGTACACTTACAAGGTTAAGATAATACATTTTATAATATGTTTATTTTAATGTTACCAAAAATCTTAAAAGGCTCCTTACAAAGCAAAAGGAAAATAAAAAGGAAGAGGGTCAACCCAGTACTGTCCCAGAGAATGTCTTATCACTAAGAATTGTGTCAGAATGTCACCTTTGAATTTCAGAGGCATTTTTACACATCTTCCATTTGATCCTTACAACCATCTTGGTGGGTGAATACAGATGTTTATTATCCCCATTTTATGCATGTGCTACTTGAGACTGGAATGAAGGTCTAGTCCAAAGAGGCAAAAGCTGGAATTATATAGGTCTAGTGATTTCACAGCCAAGTGGTTTTCCAATAATGCTGTGTTCCTAGTTAGTTAGAAAGATGTGAAAGTGCATTGAAGAGATTAGGAACTGACATTGATAGGCACCCACCCCATACCAGGCACAAGTCTCTATGCATCACTATCTCTTTAAGTCTTACCACAAGCCTACTTTCGGATCTACTAGTATCCTGATTTTACTGGGAATCAGGGAACTGAAGCTCAAAGAGATTAAATAACTTCCCTAAGATTTCCCAGCTAATAATTAAAGAGCTGAATTCAAGACAACATAATATTGAGCCGGGCATGGTAGCTCACACCTGTAATCCTAGCACTTTGGGAGGCCGAGGCAGGTGGATGACTTGAGGTCAGAAGTTTCAGACCATCCTGGCCAACATGGTGAAACTCCATCTCTACTAAAAATACAAAATAGTTAGTTGGGCGGGCGTGGTGGTGCATGCCTGCAATCCCAGCTACTCAGGAGGCTGAGGTGAGAGAATCACTTGAACCCAGGAGGCAGAGGTCGCAGTGAGCCAAGACCATGCCACCGCACTCCAGCCTAGGTAACCGAGCGAGACTCCATCTCAAATAATAATAATAATAATAGGCTGGGCGCGGTTGCTCACGCCTATAATCCCAGCACTTTGGGAGGCTTAGGAAGATGGATCACCTGAGGTCAGGAGTTCAAGACCAATCTAAACATGGTGAAACCCTGTCTCTACTAACAATACAAAAATTAGCCAAGTGTGGTGGTGCACGCCTGTAATCCCAGCTACTGGGGAGGCTGAGGCAGGAGAATCACTTGAACCCAGGAGGTGGGGTTGCAGTGAGCTGAAGTCATGCATCACACTCCAGCCTGGGCAATAGAGCAAGACTCTTTCTCCAAAGTAAGAATAATGATAATATCGAGGAGCAGAAAAGCAGCTGCAGTGAGTGGAACATGAGGCAGAGGTGATTAGCCAACACTTTATCTTTGTGCCTCTAATTGTCCTCTGGTCCTGAAAGAACCTGGTGACAGTTGGCTAACCTAATGTGGAAAGAGGAGGTAAAGAGTCAAGCCACAGGTGCAAAGATCAAACCTTTTGTCAGAGGTAAGTGGAAAAGGGAACAAAAGATTACAATCCTGGAGATGTAGACAGGAAAGCAAAATTGCAGAAACCTGCAATTACAGTGTCATGAGAACTGGCCAGAGGAGGAAAGCCTGCTTTAGAAAAGACAGAGAAAAAAGGTGAAAAGATTCTTTGTTGTTGTTGCATGTGTTGCAGGTATAGGGAAGTGATAGACCAGTAATGTTTGTGGAAAATATGTGGGTTGAGTGAGGAAAATTATAAAAACATTGAACATGTAGCTAATTTTTAAACAATTTTAAGTGCAAAGGGATCAAACGATAGAATGCACGGGAAATGCTTAAATTATAAAGTGTTATACAAAAGTGGAGTGGTACTTATTTTTATATGAGTATATTTATAATAAAACCAGAAAGACAAAGGAAAGCCAGTGCAAGAGCCTGGACTGAAGCTGTGCTGGGCTTTGCTGCCGCTCTCGTTGCCTGGGAGGCTCCTCCTTATTTTGAATCGCAGCTCCACTCTACCTCTGGCCCTGAGTGCTTGGGCACAGCCGTTCAGCAGCTGGCCTGTGATTACCCCAGGTGGTGCTATGTCAGGAATTACTTGAGCAATTCTCCCACTATGTGTTGTTTTGGGTTTGCAAGATCCCATCACGATCCTGAAAGACCCATTACCTCATAGGACTCCCCATATTAGGTGGCAGAAACTAACAGCATATGTTGGTGAAGTGGGTTCTGGGAAGGAAGGGATGCTGCGCTGGGACTCAGGGAGGAGCGTAGGACACC
Organism: Homo sapiens; assembly: GCF_000001405.40. Lineage (NCBI taxonomy): Eukaryota > Metazoa > Chordata > Mammalia > Primates > Hominidae > Homo > Homo sapiens. The sequence goes on from NC_000002.12 coordinate 30,394,537, forward strand.
CGGGCTAAGGAGGAGTCTTTATTACATTTGTGGGAAAAGTACCTGTTTTTCTTTCCTGAAGGTTTCTAAAATACACCATTCGTACTATGGCCATATCTCATCACAGACTGTTGTTTTTCAGGGTCGCTACTCACACTCTCTCCCTTTTGCCATCCAGCTCGCTCTTCTTCCATCTTTCTCTTTCCTCTCTTCACTTTTCTTACTTGCTTTTCATTGTCACTCTTTTCTTTCTCCTCTTTTACTCTTTGCCTCCTTCCTTTTCTTCTCTTGCTCTTTCCTTCTGGCCGGTTAGCATTTTCTGAGAATAGATCATGTGGAGCTGAGAGACTGGCTAAAATGTGGGATTTTTCAAAAAGATCAACTACGTTTAAACCACATGCCACATGCCAGCTTCTCCTCCCACCTCGTGGGGCAGGCTGTGTAATCAGAGTCCAGGGGCTGCAGAAAGAGGTTGTGCAGGAGTCACTAAATAATCACTTCTTTTTTGTTTTGTTTTGTTTTTTTGAGACGGAGTTTTGCTCTTGTTGCCCAGGCTGGAGTGCAATGGCACAATCTTGGCTGACTGCAACCTCCACCTCCCAGGTTCAAGCGATTCTCCTGCCTCAGCCTCCCGAGTAGCTGGGATTACAGGCGCCTGCCACTACGCCTGGCTAATTTTGTATTTTTAGTAGAGACGGGGTTTCGCCATGTTGGTCAGGCTGGTCTTGAACTCCTGAACTCAGGTGATCCAGCAACCTCGGCCTCCCAAAGTGCTGGGATTACAGGTGTGAGCCACCACGCCCAGCCAATGATCACTTCTTAAATGAAAAACATTTGTCTCCCTCCAAGAGAGGCTTCCAGGAGCCCTGAACCCAGAGGGACAGAGCTGCTATGAGTGGATGTGTTTTCTACTGAATCTCACCTCATGTGCTCAGAGCCACTCCCTTGTGGCCTTAGGATCGGCTCTGCTTTTGGAGAGGGTAATCAATCTACAGAGCAAAGGTTTATAGGAGGAATCCCCAATATTTTTATTTCCAAGGGCCCCTATATTTGCTTTTGAAAGATTTGGTCTCCAAGCAATTAAATGACTTATTTTTAATGACCCTATTAAGATGGCATTGTTTCTCCGTGTTCTAATTAATCACAGATGAATGCATTTGCCAGTCAGGCTTCTGATGAGCTCGAAGCGCCTAGTGTTCCCACATGAGAAGGTTCAATTGCAGCCTGGTGCAACACCAGTTGACATTTCAGTTGACCCTTGAGGTCTGATAACAGATATATATGCTGCTTCTCCTGGGCTTCCCAAAATATTTCAACACCCTAGAGGCCCAAGACACTCAAGCTACCTTCCTGGGGAACACTGATTTGCAATGTTCAATGCAATTGATTTGCAATTGATTTGCATTGAAGTGCAAGTGATGACAAGGTGATTGATCACAGGGACACTCAGAACCCTGACACGTGACATTTAAGGGGACGTTTAAGAAAAGATCACCTTAGGAAACAAGGAGGGAGAAGTTGTGACTGGGATAGAGAAGTTCTGGACGGGGCAGTGACACAGGTTTTGTGGAGTTTGAAACTTACCTCCTATGGGAGAGCCCTCTCTTTTTTTTATTTTTTTATTTTTTGAGATAGGGTCTCACTCTGTCACCCAGGCTGGAGTGCAGTGGTGCGATCACAGCTCACTGGAGCCTTGAACTCCCAGACTTAGGTGATCAGCCTCCCAGGTAGTTGGGACTACAGGTGCACAGCACCACACCGGCTATTTTTGAATGTTTTGTAGAAACAGAGTTTTGCCATGTTGCCCAGTCTGGTCTCAAACTCCTGGGCTCAAGTGACCCGCCTGCCTCGGCCTCCCAAAGTGCTGAGATTACAGGAATAAGCCACCATATCAGGCCTGGGGAAGCCCTCTCTCACATAAAGTTTGCAAAATTACAAATGCAAGATTAATACAGGACCTTCATGGGTCCTAAAGCTTTAGGTTCACTAGCTTCCCAGTCTGTCTGCTCTGGCCCTGCGGAAGGCTTCTTTTGGGGCTCAGAACTCTGCTCCAGTGATGCTAAAAGCAACTGAGATTAGCTGCCTGGTCTGCCCAGCAGGCCCTTTCCCCAGAATAGCAGCAGTGGCCATCTGCCCTGATATATTGACCTTGAACCTGACCTCTGACCCTTGGCTCAATGAGTATTAAACTCCTTTAAGGATTTCAATGAGTGTTCTGAGGCCATCTATTTTGTGCCAGGCACTGGGGTTATAAAACCAAATAAGCCAGACCTAGCTGGTGAGGACAGAGCGTAATAATAGTGGTGACAAACACGTAAGCTAATGTTTAAGATGGAGGTTGGTGAGGGGTATTTGGGATATTCACAAGAGGCTCTGGAAGCACCTCAGAGGGGGTGACTGACTCTGCCTGAAATGGAAGGAGAGAAAGTAAACACCCAAGGAATCTAGGAGGATAAACGGCAGTTTGCCAAGGAAATTTTTGTTTTCTTAACACTTGTGCTAACATCCATGCATATTATCATCATATTGTCTACAAAAATGTGATTACACTGGAAAGCTTAGAAGTGAGACAGATCCATGTTCTCATATTGGCTTGGCTACTAATTAACTGTGTAGCATTGGGACAAGATCTGTAAATTTTTTGTAAAGAGTTGTCTGAAAATGGGAACAATAATAATATTCATATGGTTGCTTTGATAATTAAATAAGACAACAAATGAAAGTACAAATGCCTGATGCATGGTAAGTTGCTAATAAATATTAACTATTATAATGTGCATGGTATTCTCAACCGCTTATGTATAAATAACTTTGGTTGTCTCTATGAAAATATACAGAGCACTGCCGTTTTCGTGGCTGCAAAGTATCTTTATATCAATGTACCAGTTTACATAACTAGTTCCTTACTGTGGATGTTTAGATGGTTTCCGATTTACAAAGAAAGCTCTCACAGGCTGGGTGCGATGGCTCCTGCCTGTAATCTCAGCACTCTGGGAGGCAGAAGTGGGAGGATTGCTTGAGGCTGAGGCAGTAGAATCACTTGAGGACAGGATTATTTGAGACCAGTCTGGGCAATATAGTGAGCCTCATCTCTACAAAAAATAAAAAATTAGCCAGGAATGATGGCACACACCTGTATTCTCAGCCTCTCGGGAGGCTGATGTGGGAGGACTGCTTGAGCCCAGGAGGTTGAGGCTGCAGTGAGTTGTGGTTGCACCACTGAGCTCCAGCCTGGGCAATAGATGAGACCCTGTCTCAAAAAGAGGTCTTTGTACATATATCTTTGTGCAAGTATTTCCATAGTATTAATTTCATGAACTGAAACGGCTGAGTCCAAAAGCTTTTCACAGATATTACTAATTGCCTTCCAAGTAGGGTGCACCATTTTAAATTCCCACCAATGATAAATGAGACTGTTTTCCCATCCACTTACCAGCACTAGGTATTGTCAGTCACTTCAATCTTTGCCGTGAGGGTTTTATTGGAACAGAAAAAAAAAAAAAAAAACAAGAGCAAGTCCAAAGAAGGAGGTAGGAAGACATAAGAAAATACATAAAAGGGTTCAAGAAGTCAAAAGAAGAAGAGAGGTCAAGGGCAGAGGGCTAACTGGGGGGAAGGCCTGTCTCCACCTGGCTCTGGTCCATGCAGGATGAGGATGTCCCAGGGTCAAATCCTGGGAGACTGCCCCTCTGCTCAGGTTACTGGGTCACCAGGACTGAGGCAGTACCAGGATGACTCTAGAGGAATTCATTCTCCAGAGTCTCATGATCTGGGCTCAAGACACTAGGCCATGTCATCTGCTCCTTTTGGAGGAGGCCCATGACAAAAGCCTTCTCCATATCCCTGGAGTCTCAACTGATGGCCGTCTCAGACAAACAATTCATTTCAAACAACATTTTGAAAACACCCAGCTGGCATAGATTTCCACTGCGGGGCTCTCAGAATAGCAGAGAAGTTCAAGCCAGCGAAAGCAGAGAAACTTTTCTAAAACACTCCCATGCTATATTTTGTCCTCAGAGGCAGTCTAAGGCAGGAGAAAGAGCTTTGGATGGAATGGCCTCAGATTCACACAGCCTTGCATTAAAATCTCCAACTCTGCCACTTACTAGCTGGGTGACTTTGAATCACCCCAGTTACCTCATCTGAAAAATGAGGATCATATTCTCCCTGTAGGGTGAATCATCTTAGAAAGATTACATAATGCAATCTATGTCAAGGGCTGGGCTCATTGATGAACGGAAGCTCTCTCTTCCCTAAACAAGGTGGAAAGGTGGTGCTGGTGCCCTGGAAACACCCTGGTGCTTCCATTTTCCATTTTACACTGGGCAGTTTAGCATGTGTGAATTGGACTTTTTGTAGAATTCAAAACAAAAACAAAAACAAAATCCATCACCATTGCTCCAGTGTCTACTTTCCAAAAGAACCACTTGTATGGACAGACTGTGGCAATTCTATGAAGAGGATAAAAACCACTGTTTCATACACTTTAAACAAGCGAATTGAGTGGTATATAAAAAAATCTCAATCGCATTATTATATAATATATAAAAATATATATAATATAATATATAAATTATATATTATAATACATTATATTATATAATATACATTTATATATAATATAACCCATAAATTATATATAATATATATTATAAATAATATAATATGTATAAAAGTATATATAAAACAGAAAGATTATTTGTAGATATCAGTTTTCTGCTCCCAAATTATTTGGCCACACAAAGAACCAATGAGAATGAAATATAATCACATATTGAGATATCAACGTTTGTGCTTTTCTTTTTTACAATTCCTCAGTCTTAATTATTGCCTTCAAAACATCTGTGCCATTTGCAGGGGTGGGGGGAATTAAGATTGTTCAAACAATAGACATTGGACACTCAGGCGGGTGGAAGGATGAGAGCAGGGTGAGAGATGAGAAATTACTTACAGGTAATTTGAGTGATGGCTATCCTAAAAGCTGAGGCTTCACCACTACACAACATCTCCAGGTCTCAAAACTGCACTGTACCCCCACAAGTTATTTTACTTATACAAAATTTAAAAATTGTTCAAAGGGTACTTCAAAGAGAAAAAAGTCAATTTTTTTTGTTCATTTCCAAATTCCAAATTCAAAAATTTTGAAGACCAATTTTTTTTTTTTTAATTTATGCAAGGAGCGTTTTGTTGACAGAAGAAAAGGCTCTTGACAATCCAAAGGAGCCACCCTGAAGAAAACAAGACAGAGAGTTTATGCTCAAGATTGACTGGGAGGAGCGTGGGGGAAGACTAGACCACCCGACTTTAGCACCCACACCCAGAGAAACCAGATAATGGTCCCCCAGGTTTAAAACTGGGTGGGAGTGGAATAAGGCAGGATCCTGGAGAAGATCAGTGGACTGAAGGGATGTTAGGTGGGGGGTAGCGGGGCAAGGCCTGGAGGATTCATGAAGAAAAATGGAGTCAACAGTGACCCAGTGAGCCTTCTCCATTGACAGGAGGCTGCCTGCTCCCGAAGGCATACCTGTAGGCTGCCATCATCACCCTGCACGCACAGCCAGCAGAAGATGCTGAAGAACAGCATGGTACAAGTCACTGTTCTATGAGTGCCTTTTCCCCATGGCTGCCTGCTTGTCACCTGTGGATGTGATTAAGTGACATTTATTCATCCTCCCAAGATGTTGCTGAGCCTATCCTAACTTCCCCAATTGCCCAACCTCATTACTCCTTTTCAACGGCCCTGGACAGGAATAGGTCCTAGGAACAGAGAGGGAATCCTGTAAGTATCAAATGAGCACATGCTGTGGGCAGAGTCCGGCTCTACCTGGCCTCCAGCAGCAACCAAATATCTACAGCCATGCATGGGTTCCCACTGAGTGCTTTTTGTAAATACTTTTTGTAGGAGTCCTTAGCTATGGCCGGTTTCTTCCTATCTTTTTTTTTTTTTTCTTCAAGCTCAACTCCTGCTGTGTTCAATTCTTGCATCAGCCACTGCTCTGCTCCCTGGCATCAAATGTGAAGAATGAAGAACCCATTCAGCTCATTCTGAATCATTTGACGGTTTCCAGACTCCTTAGCCTAGGGGTAGCCAAGAGGAGGAGACCTAGGAACGTGACCCAAATACGATTTGTCACCTCCATCTTTACTTTGTCAGGAGGTGCGTTGAAAGGGAGGACAGTGAAGGACAGATTCTTCTTGTCCAAACAGAAGAAACAAGAACGCCCCAGGAAAAAATGGAGTCGCTCCAGCTTTCCAAGAAGCGCCTACTCAGAGAAGTGCCCCTCTCCCACAAAGCCTTCACAAGAGAGTGCTGAGATTAAGATGAGGGGAAGAACAACTCAGTGGGGATCCACAGCTGAGCTGAGTTTGGGGATGACATTTGTGGCCGAGTCAAACCCAGGCTTACCAAGCTGAGCCAAACCTTGAATTTTAGAACTATGATGAGGCTTTGTTATGATTACTTCCAGAGGAAGATCAAGAAGAGGAGAAGCAAGACTGCTTTAAATGTTCTTTTTTCACCCTGCAAAATGTACCTGATATTGAAAAGGGACAGAGCTAAAGCAAGTTCCTGAGTGTAGCATACCCCCGGGAGGAGCATTGAGAATGCAGAGGGACATCTACAATCCACGCTTGGGTTTTCCTTAAAGCCCAGGGCCTGCAATGTGGAGATGCGGTCCCTTTGTGCCCCTTGCTGCTTGGACCATGTCTGAAGTGCTAAGCTAAATGTTGACCAAAAAAGAGGCCTTCCAGCTGGCAGACACCCTCAGCTCATTGCAACTGCCAGCTCTTTCCACTGCCCCAGCCTGAAGCCAAGTACCCCAGCTCCAGAGCTAATCTGGACTGAGGCATCGCGTAGACATCTATCATCTGTGCTTCACCAGGATCCAGCCCCATTTCCCTCGGGGAAATTGCTTCTCCATCATTCTCTGCATTACAAGGTTAGACCTCCACCTCCAAGCTCCAGAAATGTGCACATGATCCAATTCCAATTCTGGCACTCTATTTTAGAATTTTTAGGAAACAGAGGCTCATTTTCAGTTGAGTTTGAATCTGAGAAGAAGCTAACACAAGCTGCAGAATCTACCACTCAGAAACACCTGCCTGAAAGGAACACCAACTTGGAGCTGACAGATAGAGAATCACCTGAGTCCAACAGTTCCTGAAGCAGGAGCTACCCTCAGTACAAGTACCTTGGAGTTGTATGAACAAATAGATTTCCTTTGTGCATAAGACAGTATGAGTTGGATGTCTGCACTTTCGTGCAAAGGAATCCTGATAATACAGACAAGGAGTAGGCCAGAATCTTTGGCTTCACCTTCTGCTAAACCTTAGGGTTAAACAACAATTCTTCACCTAGACTGCTCCTCCAGCTTCCTCCCAGAGCCTCCCACGTGTCATTCAGACCCAGGACTCTGTATCCTCTAGGCGCGAGGCTTAGGCACTTGGGTTACATCTAGTTGCAGGTGACTTCCTTCTCTTTCTACATTATCCCAGCTTGTATCTCTGTACTTTTCCTTTATTCTGACTCTGCAGCCTACACTCCTAAATTGCTGTGGATTCTCTGATCAAGGTACTCTATCTGCCTGTTTGGACTTCCCAGAGCTGTTCTTTAATTGACCAGGGTCTGAACTTGCTGTGAACTTTGGGCACTTGCTGACATCCTCTGAAGTGCTCTGCACAGCCAGGTTCATTCTTTATCCTGGGAACAAGGATCTTCAGCCAGGCACACTGGGATCCATCCCTACAGATTCTTCTTGACTCCAGTGTGATTCAGACACATGCTCTAATGGGAACCCCAGAGGGTACCAACCAGGACAGGAAGCAGTCTGGAAACCAGGGCCTTAAAGCAGATTCAATGGAGTGGTGGTATTAATATTTGGCCCGGAAAAGAGAAGGTTAAAGGAGAAACATGATGCCTTTCTGCAAATATTTGTAGGATCGTCATACAGGACTAGGGCCAGTGGGCAAATGTCCCTGGGAGATGAGTTTGGGGTCAATAGAAGAAATTACTTTGAATTGTTTTTATACACTTGAGAATTTCCCTTGACTATGGCAGGAACATCTTTAACATCCTTGTAATATCTCAGATACCTCTGACTGTGGAGGTCAACAAATATTCGTGGATGGATTCCTGGGAATGGCATCTGGGAGGAGTCTGGGAGGCTAGAGTGAGTTGGAGTAACTTTTATGGACCATATCAATTGCCCAGAGCTGGAGCAAACTCCTGAACCTCAGGAGCCTGGGAATAAGAATCATTACCCACTGGCTGAGCTTATTTCCAGGGAACTGAAATATTTCCTCACGGGAGGACAGAGAGGATTGCCCACTACGCTAAGTGAGGAGGCAGCCATCTTCATAAGGCTGGTGGGAAGTAGGAGTCCAGGTTTAATAATGGTAAATCTATCAAAACCAAACGGACATAGCTCACATCCTGTGGGCAATAAATATACACAGGTGAAATTTTATGATGTTTTAAAGGGAACTTTATGAGCTTTGAGGGAGCCTTAGTATAAACTAAAACCAGCCATGGAAAAACAATATAATGTGAACTGTGGAAAGCAATCTCTGAAAATTCCTGTCACTGTTACCAAACCAAAGAAATTGTTCTGGGGGAGAAGAAAGATATGCTAGACTTTCTGCCTCTCTCTCATGATTTCTGGTGAGGTGGACTGTCTCGCTGGCAACATTTTCAGCTCCGTGAGAGTAAAAGCTATTAAAGCCTGCCTGTTTCCCACACAGCTCCTAGTACAATGCGGGTGCACACGTGTACACACACAAACACACACACAAAATTTGTAAGAGATGGGGAATAACGGTTGTGAGTACTTCCACAGGAAGGCCTCACTGTTCTGGGGACTTTTGTATCACAGGTAGGAAACTTGAACTCTGAGTGTTAAGAAATGTTCCCGAGGCAGATAATTAATAAATGACTGACTCTAGATCTGAACCCATCTCTCTCTATCCCTAGAGCCTAGGTCCTTTCAACCACATCTGTAGTTGCCAGACTTTTGGATTTCATCAACCAATACAGTTTCAAAAACACTCAGGAGAGTTGCCAACATTTTATTCAGAGGATACTGTTAAAAATTGAGAAAGTTGTATTAATAACAGCCCAAAAAGATAGAAAATGACTTAGGAATAAACCAAATGAATTCAGCTTTATGAAATACTTCATTCCTTGACACACGTGTATGTGTGTGTGTGTATGTGTGTGTGTGCCTCTAAAAATATTGCCACTGACAGGCACCAGATTGGCGCTTGGAACAGTACTCTCTGCCCACACTTTGTCCTCTATCCCCAATAGCACCTAGCACAATAGTACAATATCTTACCCTAAGTAGGTGCTTAAGGCTTGCTGTCGAATGGCTACTATTATTTGCTCTTTTCTGTTTGGTCCTCCAAAAAGATTCCAATGATACAAGTTTACCTGTGTTGTGGATCCAGGCAACTTGCTTCATGTTGTTTAACTTTGTATTTATGGCTTCATAAAAGCTGGACTTTGTCACCACCTCCTCCTCATTTTCCCTCTAAAACAGCAAGATTTCTCCTCCTGGCAGACTCGGGAGACTCAGGATCCTCCAACAATACAGCTTTGTTTCTTTTCCCTAAAGCGATTCCATCACTTTTCCTCTGGCCAAGAACCTCACTCCCCCGGCTTCTCTGAGAATGGGGTCAGGGAGGCCTGTGCAACCCCAAGAGGCGAGTGGGCACCTTGGCCTGGGGTCCTGTGGTTCAAGAGTCCCACCCTCTTGACCCAGCTCTTCCACTGGGTTACCTTGGGAAATTCTCTCCCCTTTTCTTTGGATCTCAGTTTTTTCACATACAAAATGAGAGGGATTGGACCAAAACATTCAAAGGGTGCTCCCAGCCTTGGCAATCTGCACTTCTCTTCCATCTGGCTGACTCCAGCTCCTCCCACATCAGGGCTCCTTTTGTTTGAGAAAAGCTGGAATTTGGGGAAATTCAATGACAAGCTGGCTGTTGAGGAAGATTCTGTAATATGATCATGCAGCTGTTCGGTGATTCTACACGAGTGTAGGATCGCTTCAGGGTGGAATGTCAAGGCTTACCAGACATTATCTTGGACCAATTCTCCTTTTTCCATGAGACCAAGTCATTATCCTCAAAAGTATTACAAATTGTGCACATCCACCAGATGCCGGGAGGTGCTGGCTGGGAAGCAGAGGACCCACGCTGGGGGTCGTCCACTTCAGGTTTCTCTTTGGCTGAGATTACACTGGAGGCTGGCGAGAAGCCAGGCTATGCCCTGGAATAAATGACTTGTCAAGTCCCCAGCCATGGCCCTAGGAGGTGCGCGCACCCCCGCTTAGCCTCCCATTTATCTTTACAGCAGTGAAACCAGCCACCCTGGAAGCCTACCTCACTGAGGGAAAGGCTAAATTGCAGAGCCCAAGTTTTTTTAAAAAATGTTTCTTTGAAAAGACATCCTTGCCCTTTAATTTTAGAATAGTTACTCTCTGGCACTTATCAGAACAGGGCTATTTGGATGTCATCTAGAGACAGAGAAGAAAAGGAGAAACCTAGCAAACTGGGCTGCCTGCTGGATCGACTTTGGTTGCTCTTTCACATGCAGATCAAAAGCTTCCTAAGCAGTTAACCCTCAGCAAGGGAGTGACAACCTCTGCAAGGAGGAGGCTCCTACAAACAGAATTTAGCAGAAGTAAGCACTTCATGCAAAGGCCCGGCATCAGCCAGCACTGGAGATGTCTGGTCACCATATAAATATCCTGAAGATGAGCTTTGGCTCCACTCTAGAAACATCCAGAGTAGTCCCCTGAAATCTACCAGCTGTAAAGTTCCCCAGACTCTTGGAGATTGCCTGGTAGCCATTTCTCAATAGAGATAACTGGGGGTGGGGTAGAGGTAGGGAAGTTCCAGTCTGCAAGATCTTTTTCTCTTCAGTGGCATCTTTCTAGGCTTAGCCCTGGCAATCACTCTGAGAGCTAGAGTAAAAACAGAAAATGAAAGTCTTGGAGAAGGGGCAAGACCAAGAAAGCAGAGATGCAGAGTTGTGTGTCCAAACAACAAATATTGGGAAGGACAAAATGAGCACGAGTTGATTCAGGACAGGCCTTCAGGGAGTGGCCACAAAAGAAATTTGGGGAGCAGGCAAGAACACAGAGATCTTCAGGGGAGCTGCCTTGGGAGAAGGGATACCCAAAACTAGGGACACACCTCTGAAGAAATGTCTGTGAGTGGGAGAATGGGAAAGGACATTGCTCAGGTGGTCAAAGGACCTGCTGAAGTCAAGTCCAATCTGACCTCTGTTGAAGCCTGGGGAACCCAGAGAGGAGGGTCCCACTTGCTCAGCAGTCAGAGATGTCATGAGGGAAAAAGCCGCACCTAAGGGCAACTAGGAGAGGACGAGAGGGAAGGAGGGAGAGCTGACAAGGTGTGCGGCAGAAATTAAAGGAGGTGCTAACCACCAAGATGGAGTCCAGGCCTTCTAAGAAAGAGCACTTTGATTTGTTACAAGGGATTATGGAGAAAGATTCAAGAAATTGAAAAGGCAGAAGGAAACCTTCTCTTTAGGAACCATTTGGCCGTCTCACCACAGAGGCTGTTCTCTTCCTCCTATTGCCTGATTCCTCCAATTTTAAGTACAAAAGTATGCCAGCATCACAGATTCAGAGATCAACCCTGCCTCCTCATTTTGCCAATGAAGATACCTATGGTCACGACAAGATCTGGCGAGCCAATGCCTCCTTCCCAAATTCCTTCCACTTCTTCATCAATGACCGGCACCTGCAGGGTGTGAGTCACTGGGCTGATGCTTCTCTGTGCCCCCATTTTTGGAATCTGAGTCTCCTGTGGTATCTGCCTGAGTCTGTGCCCTTAGAGATTCCCCAATCTCAGCCTCTTACTTACATGAACCTGTGTCTTCTCCAGTCGTTGCATATCTGTGTCGCCTAGGTTCATGAGTATGCATCGGCCTTTGCCAGCTATAGTGAGCCTGTCTGCTGCCATCACTCGCTGACAGCTGAGAAGCCTGTCCTGGCTACCTTGAGAGGGTAGACTTTTGTTCTCAGGCCCACATGCTCCCCATCTTCTCTCAGGGTAGGCATGTGTGTGATTGGGTGCCAAAAGAGTGGGGAGACATGTTGGAGAGCTGGATAATATAGCTTGCAAGCAGCCACTAAGACCTGGTCCGGGGTCCCTACACATTTGAAGACACACAGATGGGAGTGATGATCATGCATGGGTGCTGGTTATATTCTGCCCCAGTCCAACAATGGAACTCTCTTGAAACTGTGAAACATGGATTCCCTAGAGTTCTGATTTATTATGGGTTTACTGCTTAAGCCAAAAGTTTTTGTCACTTTGAGAATAGGTTAAAGGTTAAGAGGATCAATAGGGGGCCCAAAAGGATGTTTAAAACAGGTTCCATTAAACCAAGATCCCATACAAATCCAAGACAAAACCCAGAAATGAGTCTTAGGGATGAGAAGTAAGGCTTCACAGGAGGAGCTGGTTTCTGTCTGAGGGTGATAAGCTGCCAAATCCTTGCTCCAGAGAAGAGAGTCATGGGTTCCCAAGTGGCCTGTGAGTTGGGATAGAGTCAAGGCTGGAGGAAGGGCTTTAAGAAATGATCTTACAGCCAGATATGGTGGGTCACACCTGTAATTCCAGCACTTTGAGAGTTCGTTGCAGGAGGATCGCTTGAGCCCAGGAGCTTGAAACTAGCCTGGGCAACATGGTGAGACCCTGTCTCTAAAAAAAATAAAAATAAAAAAATAAAAAAAAAAAAAAGAAATGATCTTTCCCCAGGCCCAGCATGAGGGCCTTGACTAAATCTCTAGATTCCAGAGACTCCATCCTTTGTTCTTTAAAAAGCTGAGTGACTCTAGTTCTCCCTCCTAGACTCTCTAGATGCTACTTATTTCTGTTCGAACCAAAAAGCACCTATTAAGATCTTCTTCTGAGCCAGGCACGATGACTGGGACGTAGGGGTATGGGAAGGTAAGTTGGTTTGATGCTTGGCTTCACAGAACTTAGAACAAAGTCAAGAGAAGCCCAGCTGCTTCTCTGGAAGGAGAAGCCTCAAAATATGTTGCCCAAAATGCTGAGGCCCACTCCCCCACAAGTCTGATTCCAGATGGTATCAGAGCCGCTCTCAGATGGAAGCAGGGAGTCGTTATCTGGCTGGGTCCCTCCCATTTCCCACTCTGCAGTCATTCATCAAGTGGCTGCCCAGAGCCCAGTGCAGAGCTGAGGCTGGTTCCTGGCCTCGAGAGACATTCCTGGTCTGGATGTCCAGTCAGCTCAGCTTTTCCTAGTGAAGTAGGGGTGGGGTCGTATCTGTGCCACCTGTGCCTCCTCAAGTCCTTAGCATGCCCCCAGGGAAGCACAGGATGCTTCTCTCCATTTCTCTTTGTTTAAAACTTTCCTTAATGTCAGGGGATGGGGGTATTGGATGGACCCCCAGGGGGCTTTAAAAATTGAAAGCCAGTCCCGGCCAGGGCCCCCACCGGATGGTGAGAGAGCACAGGAGGAAGCAAAAGTGCTTGTGTTAACAGAATGTCATTTCCCAACATGATTCAGGCCCCGACGCGAGGCAGGAAAAGGAGAGCAAATGCCTTCCCATTCATCACATCGGACACAGTTATTTTTAGAGTAGCACCAGCTCAGCGCTGGGTTCCAAGGGCCCTGCCGTGGAAGGAGATGAGGCTGGGCTGATACAGTCAGTGAAGAGTGGAAATCTTGCAGGCGTGTGTGTGTGTGTGTGTGTGTGTGTGTGTGTGTGTGTGTGTAGGATAAACAGGAGGGGTGAGCAGGCAGCTTTCCTCCCAAACTGCAGACCCTGAGCCTGGCTCCTTATGTGAGCATGAAGGAAATTGGGTGTGGAAGTAATCATCTGAGGAATTGTTGGGGGAGAAGAAAGGGAGACCCTCTTTGCCTGGAACTGAAGTGGGCCTTTGGCTTAGAAAGGGTCCCCTCACATCCCCACTCTGATCTGACCTGCCTTTTCCCAGGCACTCCCCAGGCTGAGGGCAAAGCAGCCTCATCCTAGACTGGGTAGAACATTGGCTGACTGCAGGGGTTCTTGGCTTCACTATCACAGCCTTACAAACATCTGGCCAGCATGAACGCCTCCCTCCACCCAGATGCTGATGGTGAGCTGGTATCTGAGAAATGGATTCTGCTCCAATCAGCACCTCCATGCCCATTTTCTAGAAGGAGAGTCTTAACTGGACATGGTAAGAGAGTCCCTTTTTGCAAGGGACAGATGAAAGGCTTCCCTTCTTTTTCACCCATTTCTGGTCTTCTCTCCTCTCTCAACCAACTGAAGGAAAAGGAAGACCTGAGGTTGAACCCGGCCCTGAGACAAGATTGGGGTCAGGATGTGGTCCCAGGCTGCCTTTCTTCCTAGGCTGGATTCTTCCTTCTCCTTTCATCTTAAATACACTGCCCTCCTGTTTTCTACCTCTGGAGAGTTCTTGGCTCTATAAAAGATGAATCAACTATCTGGCCTGACCCTAACTAACATAAGCAGTCACAGCCTAGGATGAAACTAAGGCCCTCTTTCTTTCCACAAGGCTTTCTAGATGTGCTTCAAGGTCTATGGAAATGCAGTTTATACTACATGGGTCTTTAAGGGCCTCAGATTTGATTTACTTTCCATTAATAGCTGAACTGTCCCTGAGGTTCTGGCCAGTTTTAAACATTCTTACTGGCAAAGGGGATTAGATAGATGACTTCCTGCACAGTCATTGGATGGATTCCCATAAGCCAAGGCTAGTGGACAGAGCATCCCATAGCAGCAAGTCACTGCTACTGCCTCCACCAGGAAAGCAAAAAAAGCTCATGTGAAGTTTTGATGGGGCTGCCAGCACATTGATAAGAAATCTCCCTGATCCCTGTGTTAGCACCCACAAGGTGGAGAGCTTATCCGCTTTGCACAACAACCCAGGTGAGTAAAGGGATCGCAAAGTAATGAAAGGGGAGGCATCTGGTTCATTTATTTTTACCAATATTTTTTCTTCTGAAGACTTATTACAAAGATGGTCCAGTCATCATTTTAGCAGAAGCAGACAGGTAAGGAGGAAGCAGTATTGTCTGGGAAGCCAGGTGCACCAACCCAGCTTTGCCACTAATCTACATCCCAACTGTGATGTCGAATCAGCCACCCACCTTTCTGGACCACAAAAGGAACGACTTGAACCAAATGAACTTGAAACTCCTTTCCAAAGTACCATAAAACAACAATAACTGGGGAGATGGAGGAGCTGCCTGGAGAAGTTAGTCCTCACACTGCTGCTTGAAGCTAACAGATAGTAGAATAATCCTGGCTGACAGTTACTGATCTCCTAACCAAATGCACATCTCATCATCAGCCGTCACAACAACCCTGAATAGTAGGTATTATTTTCCCATTGTACAGATGAAAGAACTGAGGATCAAAGAGGTTAAACCAACTGCTAAAGGTCAGTAAGTGGCAAAAGCAGGCTTAGGCCTACGTCTTTCTGATGTTTAAGCCCATGTGTTTTCTGTCCTACCATATTACCTCTCAATGGATCAAGGAGAACAATGTCTGTTTGTCTGTGTGTGTGTGTGTGTGTGTGTGTGTGTGTGTGTTTGTTTTTCTTATTATTGAGCATCCTTTTTAAGGTCTGTCCCTTCTCTATACTTCATTTTTCCTTTCCATAACATTATTTATTATTATAAAAGAGCTGCAATTCTACCCACCTTTTGCTGTGCTGGAAGAAAAATGTTGATAAAGTGCCTAGCCCCATATGCCACCAAATCAGAGTCTTTTGCAAGTCACGACCAGATGATCTCATCTGAAAGCTTCTGTGTGTGTTGGGTGCTTGCAGTT
Source organism: Homo sapiens (assembly GCF_000001405.40). Lineage (NCBI taxonomy): Eukaryota > Metazoa > Chordata > Mammalia > Primates > Hominidae > Homo > Homo sapiens. The sequence continues at coordinate 30,410,354 of NC_000002.12, forward strand.
GAATAGGATGAGTCAGATGTCAGCCTACTTCTTTTCCAAGCACCTGAAACCCACCAACTTCCTGCTCTTCTTTCCTTTGAAGCTCTGTGTTTCGTTGTGCTTGGGAGTCCCTGGAAGGGCCAGACTGTTTGTCCAGGTTCAACACAAGGCTTGGGGTACAGTAGGTGGAGGTACCAGTATATGTTCCAGTCTCTCTGCTAAATCATTTGTCCCTTTCTCTTTGGCTCACCCTGTTATTTTCAAAACCCATTACCCACTTTGCATTAGGAGTTTCTCAGTCATTTTTTCTTCTTTCCTGTCACTCTCCTTGTATCTCTTTGTCCTTCTCCCTCTGATCTCTGTGCCTTCCCATTCTTTCTTCTGCTTAATGACTGAGTGGCTGACAACTGGGAGTCACACAGTATTATACACACAGCAGATTGAAGTCACCTTCCCATAGACTATGACAATCGTCATGATGCCACAGTACCAGGTGTGGGGGTCCTGGAGGGCTGATAAACAAGACATTCCACTCAGCATGGTATGGAGCAGAAAAAAACTGCATCATCAGGAAATTGACTCACACATAGCAGTTCCTAGACAGAGACCTTGGCCTGCAGTAGGTGACTATGAGAGTTCACATTTCTGCTTTTTCCTCCTCACTGGTACCTGAGTTAATCATGGGGCTTTGGACATAAGGGCAACAGTAGAGTCTCAGAGACACAGGATATTGACAGCATTCCAGAATAATCTGGCACTCTTCTCTTGCTTCCATTCATTATAAGGTCTACTTTAGAGGAACGTTGCAAACAAGGTCCCCAAATGTACCAGCCTCAAAGACTCTAATCCGTTTCCTATAGGCCCAAGAAACTCCAGGTTGGAAAATGAAGTTGGCATGCTTTACTGCACCCTCAGCAAAAATGACTTCATATTTTTGGTAGATGGGTGAATAGCAACTGAAAAGGATTGTTGCCAGGTGCGGTGGCTCACGCCTGTAATCCCAGCACTTTGGGAGGCCGAGGCGGGCGGATCACGAGGTCAGGAGATCGAGACCATCCTGGCTAATGTGGTGAAACCCCGTCTCTACTAAAAAAATACAAAAAATTAGCCGGGCATAGTGGTGGGGGCCTGTAGTCCCAACTGCTCGGGAGGCTGAGGCAGGAGAATGGCGTGAACTCGGGAGGCGGAGCTTGCAGTGAGCCGAGATTGCGCCACTGCACTCCAGCCGGGGCGACAGAGCGAGACTCCATCTCAAAAGAAAAAAAAAAAAGAAAAGGATTGTTGCAATAAGTAGAGGTGATATCTAGACACATTTATCTGTGGGTTAAAAGGAGCTTGTCTTATTCTCAGTTCCCTCTCTGACTCTCTACCTGAACTTTAACATTGTTTTCTTTTCCTGTGTCTTGGTTTCCACATTTATAAGCTAGACTTGTACCAAGAAGAAACCAATACATAATTGGAAAAAGAAAATGCTATGTAAATAATATTAGAGGTTCTCCTGCTGTTTGCTTGACAGCAGTTCACTTGGAAGGTTCAAGATCCTTTTGATCTTAGATGAGAGGCACCAGCTGCTGAGAGAGATGAAGTCTGATTTAATCCAGAGTTAACCTTCCAGAATATCTTTGTCAATAATTTGTGATGCTTCTTTGTAGTCTAAATTCAGGATAAAGGAGGAGAATATGATTTGTGGAATTGGTAATCACTATAAACTATAATTTCTGATCAAACCGTTTTATTTTGTGTTGTTTATGTTTCCCACATACGCCCTTCTGCGCAGACTCAAGAAACCAGTATCTGGACAGATACTTAGGAACTCGCAAAGGCCTTTTATCCTGACTATTTAAGCAAAAATAAACGATAGCTCAAGATATCAGAAGCTACACAAAATTCAGAATGGAAAGTATGTCCAGCACTTTTGACTCCTGATTTTGAGAGGCTTTAAGATAATGTCGCTCCACAGAGCCAATATGGAGAAAGGCTCATTTTGGTTGGGGGGGGTGGTGGGGGGTCACAAAACGTACTTACTGGACTACATACAACTGTCTCCCTGCAATCCTCCCTCACGTCTCCACAGCCAGATTGGAGCAGCCTGTGGAAAAAATTCCTGTCTATTTTCAGAAACAGATAAAAGCATTCAGATTATGCAGTACAAATCTCAGCCTGAAAGCAGCTGGAAAAATCTGTTTCTTGCCACTGTCACTGACCCCCCTGACCCTTGCAAGTAATGACATTCAGGCCTGCTTCTCCCTCCTCCCTTCTCCCTCCTCCTCCCTCCCAGTACAGACTGACCCATCCACTGCACATCTGGTCCTTGTCTACATTGTCAGAGCATTTATCCCTCAGAGAGCTAGAGACAGTGGAACAGGAATTAAGTTTTCTTGCGATTGAAAAAAAAATTATCAAGTGGTTCAAGGAGAAGATAGTGTTAAATCCATATCTCCTATCTGGATTTGTGAGGAGCATATTTGCAACACTGCCTGGTCCTCTGCTCTATACTCAGGGGTCACAGGGCAGGAGGCTCAATCTCAGGCAGGCACACAGGCTTCATTTGCCAAGATCCTCTCCTGGGTAGGACAGTATTCTACCCCGGGTAGAGCTGCTTAAGACCAGATATCTCCCTGTCCTGATCTCTCATAAGCACATGAGGTTTGGGAACACTGAAGAGTTCATCAAACTGGATCTCTGGTGCAGGATTAGCTCTGGCTTTAGAGAAAAGCCTGGACATCTCTACTGTCTAGGACATTCATGTTTGCAATAAATCATTTACGGTCTGAAGATACAAAATTGTAAACACAATAAAACAAGCTTATGCTTAGTGCATTGGGGAGCAAATGTCAGTCACGCACACTTGGGAGGATCACTCCCTTAGTTTTTCATCTGGGAGGTATTAGGGGCCTCAGGCCTCAATACTGAAAATATGTCTTTCCTTCCAGAATGCTTTCTGCTTAGCATTCCTCACTGAACAATTCATTAGGCACAGAACTCCTCCTACAGAAGCACTTGTCTCCCCAAGCCCCTCAAGGCAATGGGTTCACCATCCAAATAGAAGCCAAATAAAGCCAGCCGCCAATGGAGACAAACAGGATGACTCTTCTCAGGAGAATAAGATGCGTCTCTTTCCCTCCTCCCTGGTTTCCTCCTCCATCAAGCAAAAGCCTTTTCAAGAGGGAACGAAAGCTTGTCTGTCTGGCAGGTGGATGGAGCCAGTCACTGCAGCAAAAAGGGCTTCTCAGAATGGAGAGACAGCATACAGGAGCAGAGCCACAGGCTGAAAATGTCCCAGTGTGCAGACAACCCTAAGAAGGATGTGGAGTCCGGGCACAGTGGCTCATGCCTGTAATCCTAGCACTTTGGAGGCCAAAGGGGGCAGATCACCTGAGGTCAGGAGTTCGAGACCAGCCTGGCCAACATGGCAAAACCCCATGTCTACTAAAAATACAAAAATTAGCCGGGCAAGGTGGTGGGTGCTACTCGGGTGGCTGAGGCAGGAGAATCGCTTGAACCCAGGAGGCGGAGGTTGCAGTCAGCCGATATCACACCATTGCACTCCAGCTTGGGCAACAGAGTGAGACACCATCTCACACACAAAAAAAAGGATATGGACACAGCAAGAGAACATAAGAGACCTTGCCAAGCCCTACCAAGGCTCAACAACATTTCTGTTTCTCTACTTTTACATTGAAGGCTCATGTTCTGTGAGACAAGAGCCAAGGATCAGTGTGGATAATGGTTATGATGTTTAATAAAAAGCAATGACTGAGTGCTAGCTAGAAGAAGAGAGAAATCATAGCTTGAATCATACCATCCAGTTAATGTGAATATCTTTGAATGTCTCATATACCTCCAGACTTCTGCTCAAGTTGACCCCACTGCCTAGATGGCTCTTCCCCCACCTTCTCCACCTGTCAAACTCCTAGTCATCCTTAGAAGCCCAATTCCAATGTCTCCTCTTCTGTAAGACCTTCCCGTCTTCCTTCAGTCAGAATAAACCACTCCTGCCCTTGCTTTCAAACAGAACCACCTCTCTCCACGGTGGCATTTACTGTCTTCTCGCTTGTGTTCTAGTTAGCGCAATGGGCCTGTGTCTTCCAACGGGGAATGAGCACCTTGAGGACACAGCCAATGTCTTACTGGTGTTTTCCCACCATTCCCAGCTGAAACCTTAGCGTTAAAAGTGCGTCTCAGATTGTAACATCTCACTTAGGGTCACAGTAGAGTCCCAAATGCTAGCTTCAGTTCAGTGCAGTGAAGTTTAAAGGTCTCTCCGCATTCCTTTTTAAAAAAATTTTTTGAGATAATATTCACATAACATTCGACTATTTTGAAGTGTACAGTTCCGTGGTTTTTAGTATATTCACAAAGTTGTGCAGCCATCATTAATATCTAATTCCAGAAGATTTTCATCACATCAAAATGAAAGTTCTTCATCCCCCTTCCCCTCATTAGCTCCTCATCCCTTTCTCCCCAGCCCTCACACCTAGGGAATCACTAACCTGCTTTCTGTCTCTACAGATTTGCCTATTCTGGACATTTCATATAAGTGTAATTACACAATATGTGGCCTTTTGCATCTGGCTTCTTCACTTAGCATAATGTTTTTAAGTATCATTTACGTTGCAGCATGTATCAGTACTTCATTTCTTTTTATGATCAAATAATATCCCGTTGTATGGCTAGACTGCATTTTGCATATACCTTCATCAGTTGATGAACTTTTAGATTGTTTCCACTTGTTGGCTGTTACGAATCATGCTGCTGTGAACACTCATGTACAGGTTTATGTGCAGACATATGTTTTCAATTCTCCTGTGTATACACTTAGGAGTGGAAGTGTTGGGTTATTGGTAATTCTATGTTTAGCTTTTTGAGGAACTGCCAAACTATTTTCCATAGCAGCTGTGCCATTTTACATTCCACTAGCAGTATATGAGGGTTCTAATTTCTTCACATCATCACCAATTCTTGTGACTTTCTGTTTATTTTTTATTTTTATTATAGTTATTGTAATGGGTGTAAAGTAGTATCTTATTTTGATTTTTTATTGCATTTTTCACTAATGACTAATGATGTTAAGAATATTTTCATGTGTTTATTGGCCATTCATATATTGGCCATTTGTATATCTTCTTAGAGAAATGCCTATTCAAGTCATTTGCCCATATCTAAATTGTGTTGTATGTCTTACTGTTGTTGAGTTGTAGAAGTTATTTATATATTCAACATACTAGACTCTTATCAGACTTACAAGTATTTTCTCCAATTCTGTGGGTTGCCTCTTCTCCTTTTTGGTAGTGGCCTTTGATTCACAAAAGTCTTTAATTTTGATAAAGTCCAATTTCTCTACTTTCTTGGTTTTATTTTTATTTATTTATTTTTTTGTTTTTGCACGTGCTCTAGTGCCATATCTAAGAAACCATTGCCTAATACAAGGTCATGAAGATGTATAGCTCTGTTTCCTTCTAACAGTTTTATAGTTTTAGCTCTGCTGTTTGACTCTTCGATTTATTGTGAATTAATTATCGTATACAAAGTGAGATGAGGGGTTCACATTTATTCTGTTGTATGTGGATATCCAGTGGTCTCAGCACCATTTGGTGAAAAGACCCATCTTTTTCTATTGAATGATCATGGCACTCTTGTTAAAAATCAATTATTTATTATTTTTAAACTGTTACCTTCTTGTATGTATCTCTTGAAATAAACTCATTGGTTCATTCCTCAGATACAGAAAACTTGATAATACTAAGTTTTTTTAAAAATATAGCAATTACATTTACCTGAGTTCTTCATACACACCTCAGAATTCATCCAGGAAAAGTTAACAACATCCAAGCATTTTCACAAATAGAAATTGCCTGGAGCTGGACATGGTGGCTCAGACCTGTAATCCCTGTGCTTTAGGAGAAGAAGTGGGAGTTTGGCTTGAGGCCAGGAATTTGAGACCAACTTGGGCAACAAAGCAAGACCCAGTCTCTACAAATAAATAAATAATAAATAAATAAAAATACAGGCATTTGCCTGTAGTTTCAGCTACTCAGGAGGCTGAAGCAAGAGGATTGCTTGAGCCCAGGAGTTCAAGGTTACAGTGAGCTATGATCGCTCCGCTGCATTCTACTCCGACTGTGCTGTCAGAGAGAGAGGCTTCTCTAGCAGCGCTGGATAATTAAAAGGACTGAAAGGATAGTTAGGCATGGTGGTGTGCACCCATCATCCTAGCTACTCAGAAGACTGAGGTGGAAGGATCCCTCAAGCTCAGGAGTTCCAGGCTACAGTGAGCTATGATGGCACCACTTCACTCTATCTGGATGACAGAGCAAGCCACTGTCTCTATAAATAAATAAATAAATAAATAAATAAATAAATAAATAAATGGACGGAAAGGAGTGGATCCTGGTCTCAGACACTAAAACAGCTTTCGTTTTTAAAAGCACCAGGGAGCTGAAAGATAGTTTTTCTTAAACTCACTCTGCTTGTTTCCTTTCCGGCTGGTCTTGGCTAACACTTTTTCCCCTGTCTCAAGCATCCTTTATCCCATCTCATCGCACCCCATCCTCTCCAACCCCACTTCGCCCATCTCTGTCTTGCTAACCCCCCACCTCATGCCATCTCTGAATGTCCAGGGTGGGCCAGAACCTTCTTGATGTTTCCCAGAGTGTAATGCCAGATTTCAGTCTTGGGACTTAGCACATTTCTATAGGGAAGAATTTTGGTTTAATATCTATTTTCCTGCTGGAGAGAAGGCTCCTTGAAACCAGGAACTGTATCTTGTTCATCTTTGTAAGCCGTGGGAGTGGAACGGAGTGGAGCACTAAAAGACTGCTGAACAGATGTGTAGGTGCACATAGGGTCAACTTACAGAAAAGAATAGTGACTCAAGGATTGGCCCTAAGAAAGAAACTAGAAAATAGAAAGGAAGAGGAATAAGAGACAACCCTTAATTCCTTCAGGAATTCTTTTTCAACCATCTCCAGGCCACTTGCCTATGCTGAGACTATGTACTGGTAAACAGCTAGCCTGATCTTTCCTCTCACTATTGTGACACAGCTGAGCATGTGACCAGGCCTGGCTGCATGCGCCTTTCTCAAGCAGGCCCTGTGGGGCCAAGAGGGATGCTATGCTGCTAAAGCATGGAGAAAGGGAAGCTGGGAATCCTGAAGTGATCAGAATAAAGCATTTCCTTTCTTGTTTGCTGCCAGGGTCGTGGTAACATAAAGGGCTCTATCAGGAAGCCAGCGGCAGCCAGATCATTGGAATTTACCCTGTGGTGGAGCTGGGGATGAGGATGGGAGGATTTGCCTACAAACAGCAGATCAAAATAGAAGTAGTAAGAACTAAAATAAAAATATACCCAGAATTTAAGTTTAGGCCAATATGAGGAGGATTTTTTTCTCTTCTTTTTAATATTTTTTTCCTATCCAAATTGTATAAGAAACTCAAATAACTCAATACTAAAAAAAAAAAAAAAACCAAACAACTTGATTAAAAAATAGGCCAAGGACCAGGTGCTGTGACTCATGCTTGTAATCCCAGCACATTGGGAAGTTGAGGCAGGACAGGAAGATTGCTTCAGGCCAGGAGTTTGAGGCCAGGCTGGGCAACATAGTGAGACCCTGTCTTTACAAGAAAAATTTTAAAAAGTAATTAAATAAAATTTAAGAGAAAAAAACTTTAATAAAAAAAGAGGAAGACATACAAATGGCAAACAGTTTGCTCAACATCACTCACTAATCATCAGGGAAGTGCACATTAGAACCGCAACAAAATGTCACCTACAACTGTTAGCATGGCTATCACCCAAAAGGTGATGGATAACTGTTGGCGACAATATGGAGAAAAGGGAGCCCTGTACTCTGTTAGTAGGAATGTAAATTAGTACAGCCATTATGAGAAACCGTATGGGGGTTCCTTAAAAAATTAAAAATAGACTTGCCATACCATCCAGCAATCCCACTACTAGATATTTATTCAAAGGCAAGAAATTAGTATGTCAGGCCAGGCACCGTGGCTCATGTCTGTAATCCCAGCACTTTGGGAGACCGAGGTGGGCGGATCACCTGAGATCAGGAGTTTGAGACCAGCCTGGCCAACATGGCGAAACCTCGTCTCTACTAAAAATACAAAACTTAGCCCGGCGTGGTGGTGGGTGCCTGTAATCCCAGCTACTTGGGAGGCTGAGACAGGAGAATTGCTTGAACCCAGGAGGCAGAGGTTGCAGTGAGCCAAGATCGTGCCACTGCACTCCAACTGGGGCGACAGAGCAAGACTCCGCCTCAAAAAAAAAAAAAAAAGAAAAAAAACTTAATATGTCAAAGAGCTCTCTGCACTCCCATATTTGCTGCAGCACTATTCACAGTAGCCAAGATATGGAATCAATCTAAGTATCCATCAACAGAGGAATAAAGAAAATGCATTATACATTCACAATGAAATACTACACCACTTTGAAAAAGAAGAAAATCCTGTCACTTGTGGCAACATGGATGAACCTGGAGGACATTATGTCAAGTGAAATAAGCCAGGCACAGGGCAACAAATATCACATGATCCCACTTTTACATGGAGTATAAAAAAAGTCAAACTTACAGAAATAGAGAGTAAAATGGTAATTATCAGATACTGGGGGTGGGGTGGGGGCAATGGGGGGATGTTGACCAAAGGACACAAAATTTCAGTTAGGAGGAAAAAATTCAAGAGATCTATTGTATATCATGGTGACTACAGTTAATGACAATATACTGTATCCTTGAAAGTTGCCAAGAGTGTAGATTTTAAGTGTTTTCACCACAAAAAAAGGTATGTGAAGTAATGCACATGTTAAACAGCTTGATTTAGCCATTCCACAATGTATACATATATTAAAGCGTCATGTTGTACATCATAAATATGTACAATTTTTACTTGTTAATTAAAAAATTTTTTTTTCTTTGCCAAATCAAAAGTCAGTATAGCACAATTAAGGAAACTTTCTTTTTAATTAAAAAACAATCATAATCGCATAATGTAATACAACTATTTTTACACTATTGCATATTTTCTTTTGGTTCTGTTAAAATGTATCACTCATTCTACATAATTATAATTATTATATATAATAATTATATATAATAATTATAATTATATAATTATTATATATAATAATTATAATTATATAATGCAATATAATACTTTTTTACTTTATCTTTTTTTACTTTTTTTTTACTTTATCTTTTATCTTTTTTTTTTAGAGACAGGGTCTCCCTCAGCTGCTCAGGCTGAAATGCAGTGACACAGTCATAGCTCATTGCAGCCTCAAAATCCTTGGTTCAAGTGATCCTCTGGCCTCAGCCTCCCAAGTAGCTGGGACCACAGGCTCACACCACCTTGCCCAGCTAATTTTTAAAAAATAATTTTGTAGAGATGAGGTCCTACTATGTTGCTGAGGCTGGTCTCAAGCTCCTGGCCTCAGGCAGTGCTCCTGCCCCAGCCTCCAAAAGTGCTGGGATTACAGGTGTGATCCACAGGCCACCATGCCCAGCCTCATTTTAATTATTTTATCATAAACATTTCTATATTTTAACCTTTTTATTATCATTATTTTAATACCTACATAGTGTTCTTAAGGTTCATAGTCATCATACTTTTCCTTGCTGTGCCCCTTTTGTTCAGCGTTTAGTTTATTATCAATTTTGACTATTAAACAAAATTTAAACAAAATTTAAATGTCAGTCATGAAGCTTTTCTGTTTTTGATTTCTTCCTTAGTATAAACTCTTTGGAGAGCAACATTAAGCTCAAAGGGTGTGAATATTTTTATGGGTTTTGATATGCATTGTCATTTTATTTTCAAACAGCTTGTAAGAATTCACACTGGCATCAGTAATGTATGACTCCAGTGTCACCCACAACCAGACCATCATTGGCCGTCACATTTTAACTTCTCTTAACTTAACAATGTAAATTGATGTTTCAATGTTGCTGTAGTCTACATTTATTTAATTATAAAGACAAATTTTTTCTGGGGTTTGTGGGCAATCTATATTTCTTGTTTGTAAATTACTTATTCATTTTCTTATTCACCCATTGAAATCTTAATGTTTTATTTTATATTTTTTAATGAGTAATTTTTAAAGTATCAGTACTCTTTACCATAATTGATAAAAATATTTCTGCAGACTCTGTTGCCATTTTATATTAGAGTTACCAGTTTTCATTACTTGAAAGCTCTTAAAATATTTATTTGGGCCTGTCAATCTTCATGATTTATTCTATTGCTCCAAAATTGAGAACCTATTTCTCTATTGATCTGGCTGTTTTATGCTGAATTTTTGTAGTTTTGTCGTATAATTTGTCTATTTATGTATAATTCTTAGCCCAATTGCCATTTTCTAGATGATATAAAGAATTGATCTAAACAAAACATTTTCCAAATTTATGACCAGTGATACTCCTAGTTCTCATTAAATAATCTTTTCTTACTCTCATATTTATCACATTTTAAATTTATGTAGTGAGAGTGAGTTCTGGATCCTTTTTGTGGTTGTTTCGATATAATTTCCCTTTTTTTGTGGTAAGAATCACAAAAACATTTTGTTTTAATTATTTCTGTGTGTTTTTCTTGATATCTCTGCTGTTGATTACATTGACTGGCATGCAGTATGTGTTCAACTGATTTTTACTGACCTGTATCACATTTACAATATATACACATACCTTCTAAGTTTCGATCTTGAGTATTTTTCAATTTAAAAAAATCCATTACTGGCTGATTGAGTCACACCTAGAAATCTTTTTCTCTGTTATCTCCAGAGCATCTCAATTCCTCCCCACCTTCATTTGTTGCCACATTCTTTTGGGAAGTCTGAGAAGTTGAGATAGCAGAATGTGCAAGTAGGGAGGCTTCCAGGTTACTTTCTCAACCTAGTCCTTGCAGCATCCCCACCCCCACGAAGCAGGCAATCTCTTTGCAAGCAGGATGGGGAAGCTCAGAGAATGTCACTGACTTGCTCAGAGTCACACAGCTTGGAGTTATGGTTCAAACTTGGATCACCTGGCTCTGAGTTTGGTATTCATACACATCGCTGACTTTATAGATCTTAAAGTTTTTTGTCTTAGTTATCTAGGCAGTACAGCTAGTAAGTTAGTGAATATTTTTAGGCCAAAGGCTGACATAATGAGATTTGTTTGGAAGGGGCATTCTGGCAGAACACCCACAATAAGATGTAAGAGATATAGCACAACTCCCACCTAGAACTATTTCTCACCACATCACAGGCTGCAGGTGGAGATGCATGGCAACGTTGAGGGAACTCAGACACCCAATCTGATGCACGGCATACCAGGAGGTGGGGAGGGGATCTGCAGAGACCTTTCACTGAGTTTTGGCACACAGACTGCTAAAGGAAAGCCTCCGTGGTGGGCTTGAACATGAGCATAGAAGAGCTCTTTTTAAACACAGGCCTTGAGCTGACTACAGGGGTCACAGGCAGAATAGCAAACAGAGACAAGACTATAAATAGCAGCTGCAGCTGGAAAGCAAAAGACAGGCCTGACCTGTGCATAGTATAGAAAGGACCTCAGGCAAGCCATCAGTCTCACCCTATTGCTCCCTCCCCTTGCAGAGGCCCCTCCCCACAACAGGCATCCTCAGCTCCAGCAGAGAAAGACTATGCATTATCACTGGAAGAGCTGTGAACCTGAACAGATTTCGTCCTCCCCAATCTAAGGAGTTAAAACTTAAAACACGGCGAGTCGACTTCAGATCTGGGGACAAGGCTCCTCCGAGTCCACCCTGCAGGGCTGTGAGCCGATCCTTTATTTCTGCTTGGTTGTCATTGTTCAGTTCTGTCTGCTTAGCCAGATTGGAAATGGTTAGCTGGAAAAAATTATGGTGCTGTCTAACATGATGTAACAAGATGTCATCTTCTAGCTCCAACGCATAAAATGGATTTACAGGAAGGAGAGGAGAAAAAAAAAAAAAGAGCAAAGCCCCAGGGAGCGCTTGACTCAGATAAAAACCACTGGGTTTTGTTTGTGAATGTCTAAAAGCTGCATGTTATTTTACTTAGAAGAACATGAGAACAGACTGGCATTTCAGGGGAAACAAAAGTTGTGGGCTACACAGCCCAGAGGAAAAGTGTGCTGAAAAAACTAAAACTAATATTCATTTCATATTGCACACATATACAAACACACCACAAACCCTATCTACCAATCACACAGACACATAAAATATGTGCCACAAATACCACCCCCGCCCCCAACACACACACAGGGCATACACACAGGAACACATACCACACCCCTTCTAAGCCTCGCCCAGGCATGACATGCACTCACCACCCACACACATTGTCGCATATCCTCTAGCATCGCCCCAACACCCTTGCCACAGTGACAAATACACTCATTCTTTTTACTCAAGAATCCTTTAATTCCTATATCACTGAGCCATGCAGGTGAGCATATATTCTGGGTCTAAGCTTTTCAGAGCTCCCTTTTATGAAGACACATACTGGAAAAGACATAGTGGAAAGAGGGTCAAAGGTTTTGTGGTTCTTTTTAAATATACAGTGGTTCTAGAAAGGCACATTCTAAGCCAATCCTAATATACTGCAGGGAAGTAACATGAATAAGAAAAGATATAATAGGGGCCGGGGGCAGTAGCTTATGCCTGTAATCCTAACACTTTGGGAGGCCGAGGCGGGTGGATTGTCAGAGCTCAGGAGTTCGAGACCAGCCTGGGCAACATGGCAAAACTCTGTCCCTACTAAAAATACAAAAAAGTAGCCAGGCATGGTGGCACATGCCTGTAGTCCC